>NC_000010.11:105749155-106052186 GCF_000001405.40 Homo sapiens
TTTGTATATATGACAGCAAAATAGAAAAGAACTTTTAAACGTTTACTTATTCTGACTTCGTAACAGCATGTCAACCAGCCTTGTAAGTAATGACAGTGTTTACTAGTTTGTAAAGAGTGCTTTATTACAAATGTGAGCAAATCCAGGGGATATGATAGTTGTATGTATATGCAAATATTTGTGTGTGTATGTATTTAACTACTCTTCTCACTCTTGCCAGAGCAAATGCTAGAAATAACTGAATCCACCGGTCTTCTATGTTTTCTTTAAATATAACATAATTCACTGTGGGAGACAAACAAGTGGGAATTTTTATTGACTGATCTTTGATACTCTAAAAATAAAAAAAAAAATCACATTATTTCCTCATATCATAATACTTATTATGTTGTTTAAAAAACCTTTTATTTAGCTATAAATACTATTTAGAGGATATAGACCACACATAAAAAGAATGTCAAATCATAACTATGTCCATGAGAGATCATGCAGCCTGAAAAAGTAAAAGTTGAGATGGTTAAAATAATCTAACTAACGTGGTCTGATATATTTCACAAAAAGGGAAAATACACTACATTTCAAGCAACCTGGGACACTAATAAAATTGAACTTATAATAATGAAGAAAATTTTAATGAATTCCAAAAAACAGAAATGGTGCAGATGATATTCTTTAGTAAAAAATTAATTAATTTATACAAGCTAGAAAACGAAAAATGCAAAGAGAGGATAAAAAATGAAACCACAGGATTTATAGGAGGTAAAGTTTAAAAGACTTATATTTCAACATATGAGATATAGCTAAAGCAATGTAAAATGTAAATACTTTTCAAATAACAAAAAGTAAAAATTAAGCATGTATATCAACAAGTTAAAACTGACCAACAATAAAAACCTATGGAAAAAGAAGAATCTAGTCATCAAGATATAATAAAAAAGAGTTGGAGAAAGGTAGGAAACATAATAAATAAATCTATTTGCTCTTCATTTGAAAATTGGAACAAAATAAAAAATTGATTATCCATTGAAATAAAATTAAAAGAGGGAGAAAGCACACTTATAAAATAAATGGGACCAGCAAAATAACTATTGGTACAAAATGTTATTAAACTAAAACATCTTAGCTCAAGTTTGTGAAAATATAATTGAAATCCATATGAAATAAATGCTTTCCTTAGCAAATAAAATATCCTATATCTATCCACAGAAGATAATAAAATAGGCAAATAGAGCAATAGTGAAAAATTATTCAAGTGTTATCAAAAGACTACCAAGATGAAGGGCTTCCCCCTTCACTGGGCTTTCATTCTTCTTCTTGCTGCCAATATGTGAAGAAGGATGTATTTGCTTCCCCTTCTGCCATAATTGTAAGTTTACTGAGGCCTCCCGAGCCCTGCAGAACTGTGATCAATTAAAACTCTTTCCTTTATAAATTACCCAGTCTTGGGTATTTCTTCACAGTAGCATGAAAATGAACTAATACAATCATCAACAACAGGCAATGTAAGACTTTCAATCTGGAGAGACGGGAAACACATTAATATCTTAGTAAAAAGTAAGTGGTATCAATAAATGTAAAGAAAACTTCATCTAAGCACATTATAATTAAATGACTAAAACCAAAATAAAAACAGAATACTTTAAAATCAGCTAGGGGTAAAAAGACACCTCAGATATAGGTGAATGGCAATATGAATGACAGCCAACTTTTCCACAGAAACAATGCAGACCAGAAGACAAGAGAATGACATTTTTAATGCGCAACAAAAAAAGTGAATCCAGAATTCTACATTCAGTGAAATTATTTGTCAAAATTAAGGGTGAAGCAATAGCCTCACTGACCTTTCTGAATTATGTGGTATAAACCATACATGATTTTGAAAGTCTCATGTCATAATCAACTGATCAGATCAATGCTGCCAGAAGATTCTTCTTCTGGGTGTATGTACCCTAAAACTTAAAGTATAATAATAATAAAATTAAAAAAAGAAAAATACACTTACATTTTAAATTAAGCAAAGCTGAGAAACAATAACATTTTCCTCTTCTGTCAGCCAATGTACTGGATATCCTCTTTTTCTCCATATGTCTCCATCATTTCCCACCCTCTTTCTGCCCTGGGATGCTGATGTTTATGGATGGCATTGACAGCCTCACTTGCCTTCCAGCTTCTACCTGGGTGCAACCACTGGAAGGTACCAGTAGGAGAGTGGGGAGTGAAAGGAGAGAGAATGGCTCTTTATTGCCCTAGTTGCCTCTCAGCTGTGCTAAAGACTGTCCATGGCTGTATTCCTCCCCAAAGGCCAGGCTTCTTGCTACAGCCATATCCTTTAGCTACAAGCCTCATTCTGAGTTCTAGTGACCATCCCTGGCTCCCTCAGAGATGGTAGGGATATTGACTCCCTGCTATTGCTAGCTGCAAGAGGCTTCACCATCCTTTGCAGTTTTCTCTGAACACTGTCCACACCTTTGTCAAAAGCGTTTATTTATCTCCAGTTATCCTTTTGACTGCATCATTTGTTTCACATAAAAATCTGGACTGACAGTCAGAGTACTTCTATGTATGCAACAGGAAGAAAAACTGGCAATTTAAAGCAAAGGAGGAAGTATTAAAGCTCCCACAACCTGTGAGAGCTGGAAAGCCAGGAACACTGGCTAAGCAGCAAGAACAAAGCCAACTATGGTGCTGAAAAATTCGTCCCTGAAAACTCTTGTGCTATTACTAAGTACAGACACACCAGCTTGTACTGCTGACACCATCAATGCCAGACCTGGACACTGCCAACCACATACTTGAACCTAAGGAAAAGAGGTTACAGATGCTGGCAATCATCTGTAAGATTGACTATTTTGGCTACCCACATAGCCTTCTTCCCAACTTCTACTTACTAAAAGAAACATAAAGAAAGACAGCTCTTATCTAACTTAATGTTCCTTACAAAACCCTCTTACCCTCTTATCAAAAAATCTCAGCCCAGAAACTTATCAATTACTGCCTCCAATTCTGAGATGAGAGTCTGCATGATGCTTATTCTTTTTCTTATTCTACGATGATTTTTTTGGTCTAGGAAGATGAGAACAAGATGGGATTAAATGAGCAATGATTTCATGCATACTAAAACATCCAAGGATTAAATATGCAAGGGGTTACCCAGGAAACCCTTGTAAAAGAAAATGAGGTGGATGCTGGGTGAGGCTTGGAAAGGTGCCAGAGTGTGGTAGAGGTCTCCCACCCACCCCCACAAGGAAGTAAAGTGGGAAGGAAAGTTGAGTGGAATCATCCTAAACTCCTGGGTAGTCTGGGGAATGTGTAGTCTAGGCAAGGCCATGGAAGAGCTCTGAGCTGAAGCTCTGCATTAAATGAGAGCCACATCTCCTAGGAAAAAGCCTGTGTTAGCATCACTGCTATACCTGATCATTGGCTAGAAGCAGTCCGTGGAAAACACTGCCCCAGCAGAAACGCAGTTTTGGACTTCAGAGCACAACAGCTGGGAACTTGGTCAATTACACTCCCTGTGGTTGAGAATCTGTGGGGGGTATTCTTACAACCACTACAATGACCCTGTCTTAATGTCCTATAACCAAAGGACTACACTCATAAGTTAACCTTCGATATACCACCATATATCAAATGATGGGGCAAAGAAGAATGCAGAGGAAAATGAGTTTAAAGAGATAATTCTATAGGTGAATAGATATATGTGCATAGAATATATATGCATGCATGTATATACATGGCAAAAATAAGGTAGATGTTACAGTTTTTGTTTCTGTAACTGGCCCAAAGGCATAATTAGTACTTAAAATAACGTCTCTACTATTCACACCACATTCAAACTGCGCTCAGCAAGTACTACTGGAAGTTTTCCTGAGAGATGTTAGCTTCTAATGTTTCTGCATATATGGGGTTACCTGCAGTCTTCCATTAAAATATATCCATGAGGAAAGCAGTACTAATGTCTAAAGGGATCCTCTAAGACTCCATATTCTTTCTTGCTCCCATTGTACAACAGCATCCCTTAAATCCCTTGCCAGTGGGAATCGACCATCCCAGGGGGCAATGTAACTCCCTCACCATTTTGCCTTTTTTGCCAGGTTGGGAATACCTGGTCAGGTGGCAGTCTCAGCTTCATTTCAAAGGAATCATTGTTTTGTGTGTGTGTGTGTGTGTGTGTGTGTGTGTGTGTGTGTGTGTGTGTGTGTGTGTGTGGTGGAAGAGTTCTCTCCTGACTATGGATATGTTTTAAGTTAAAACACAGGAATAATTTAAAACATTATTGTAAATATATCTTTATTTAGAATAGTGACAACTGCATGCTCTCTTCTATCCCTTATATTATGCTAATGAAAGAACTACTTTGCATCTTTCACTGTGATTTTCTGGTTAGAAGCGACATAGTATTGGATGCTATAATGATGAGTAAGACATCCTGTAATTGTATGGATGATAATGTTGACAGAAACACAGCAGGCAGAAAAGGGATAACCAATTTCATTTTATTTCATTTTTAGTTTTTGAGATGGAATCTTGCTCTATTGCCCAGGCTGGAGGGCAGTGCCACAAACACGGGACCATGGCTGACCGTGAACTCCTGGGTTCAAGCGAGCCTCCTGCCTCACCCTCCCAAAGTGCTAGAACTATAGGCATGAGCCACTGTTCCTGACCACCAGTTTTAAAAACAAGTTATTTTTGGTGAAGACAAATCAGACACCTCTCCAAGATGGAAGGGGCCCAATGTAATCACCCTTTCCCCTTTGGCTAATGGATATAGTACCAGTTTGGTGACTTGGCGTTGATTGCTGCTACTGCAAAAATCAGGTATTTAACAGCAGCATTAGCTGGGGCCATCAAAAACACTGAAGGCATTGCTTTGTCTAGCTCTATGCCAGAGAACCATAAAGTGACTAGGCTCTTCAGGATAACAAGAAGTAGTAGTGGTTCAAGACCTTAAGTTCCCTCTGATTCTTATGGGATGAAGGCAAGTTCAGGTTTCGAGGATGAAGTACTGAAAAAGCTATTTCATAAATGAAAAAAAAAGAAAGAAATTCAACATGGAGAGTAGGAAAACACTGACCTTCCTCAGAAGTAATCCACATAGAAGTATATTTCTTATACATTTAAAAAATGATTGCAGATTAATCAGGGGTACCCTAGAGTTGCAGTTAAATATTTTGTTGATGGACATTCATTTTAAAATTCTGGCTCTGTTATCAGATATCTGATCTTGGTAATTAGCTTTTCCAAATCTCAGTTTTCTTATTAGTAAACAGGTATCCTTATTAGTAAACGCAATTCCTGCCTTATAATATTGTTATGAGACACTTGAGAGAGTTTCTATAGAGTACTTAGCACAGATCATGTTACATTCTAAGGGTTCAAAAATGGTGACAATCTTTTTTTAAGGAATCATAATTTTTTAACTAAAACTAAAGTTTTCATAACTTAAATTAAAAAATATCAGCGAAGGCAGATAGTTTATGTATAGTACAGAAGAAAAAGCCCCTAAAGACCGTATTCTCTACTTTCAAAGGTGAAAGAAAGTCTGTCTATTTTCTGTTAGTTTTCGGCCTCCAGAGATGTATATTCCTTCATTGGGAAGACCCGTTCACCAGGCTTTTCTATAGTTAGGATAAATTTTCACTAAGTAAATCAATCAGATTTTCTGTATTTCACACACTATTCTACAGGTCCACAAACTTTCATTTGAAATCCCAATAGTTATCAAACCAAACTCCTCCTGCCTTTTTCTATCTCTTTCTTCCTTCTTTCTCTTTCTTCCTTTCTCCTTCCTTCCTTCCTTTGTAATTTTTGTAAGAAATTCATTTGGTGGCAAAAACCTGAACTGTAGTAAGGTAAGACTATTTTTAGTCATTATTTCCCTCCAACTTCCACCCCTGCTACAGAGCGCAGTGGGGGTGGTAGGCAAACTCCATGAAATATACTACATCACCATTTGGAAATCCAAACAATTCTGAATTCTTAAATGTATCTTGTATCAAGGGATTAATAGACCTAAAATTACAAACTAGTTTTTCAGATATTTCTGACATTACCATGGAGTATACTGACAAGTAAATAAGAGAATTTTAGACATAGGAAAAGTTAAAGTGTGATTTAAATTGAGTCAGTCTTCTCGATCAGCTGAGACATTTCCATTTCTGGTCCTGCCAAACTGAGGGCCTTCAGTTTAGGCCATGCCTCACTCAAGTAGTTTCCACATAGATTACTTCTACTTGAGTAGCAATTCTACTCCACCATGAGTCTTTATGTTCAATCTTCACCACCAAGGCATGCTTCTGGGGGTTCTCCTCTCCCCTCTCAAAAGCAAGGTGTTACTAGCAGTACAGGTGACTTTGGCAGCACCTGACCCAGTGATGCTCCATATGAGATGCTACTACTGATAGCCTAGCATTTTACCTGCAACAAAGTTAGCTTTCTGTGTTGGCTTTCTTCTTTTCTCCTTGACTTAGGAAGACCGACTACTTTCCTAAGTATGACTACTAAAATTCCAAAATGTAACATTGTAAACTTAAATCTTCAGATTGGTCATCAGGTGACATTTAAAACACACCATGTGTACTCACATATCCTTTAGCCAAAAATGAAGTTTTTTTTCTTTCTGTTTGTTTGTTTGTTTGAGACAGGGTCTCTCTGTATTGTCCAGGCTGGAAGGCAGTGGCGTGATCTCGACTCACTGCAGCCTAAAACTCCCTGGTTCAGGTGATCCTCCCACCTCAGCCTCCCAAGTAGCTGGGACTACAGGTGCACACCACCAAACTCAGCTACTTTTTTTATTGTATTTGTAGAGACAGGGTTTTGATGTGCTGCCCAGGCTGGTCTCAAAGTCCTGGGCTCATGCAATCTGCCCATCTTAGCCTCCCAAAGTGCTGGGATTACATACATGAGCCACTGTAACCAGCCAAAAAAATGAAGTTTTAATAGTTCCTTCCAAGTGTTTGGGTTATGACTGGAAGAACAAAGCAATAACTGTAGTAATGAAAGCAGCGGTGGTGCTAGTGGTAGTAACAACAATAGTAATCATAGTTAATTACACCCCCCACCACCATCTCCACAAGTTATTACATTTTCAGTGCCTACCTATGTGCCAAGTATCGTGCAAGGTGCTTCACAGATATTATCTCTGACCCTGTTATCTAAAGAATATCACGCCTATTTTACTTCTGGGTAATGACATTGGAAGAGTATATGGTATGTCAATTTCCAAAGTTCATGTGGCCATTAGATGATGAAACCATGTTTTAAACACAAGTGTATTAGAATGAGCTGATAATCATCCTGACATTTTATTTTGCTTATTGAATTCTGTTCTGGCTTGTCTTATGTGACTTTGCCCTTTGTTATGTGCCTTTGTAAGTTATTTTAATACTTTCCTGACCACGGGTCCCCACCCGTAGAGTAAGCCTCTCAGCACTTCTGGTTTCTTTCATCACCTTCTTATCTACTGAGCTGCTGAGCAAAGGGTTCCGAACACAGCAGCTGGTAAATAAATATTTGTTAACTAATTTTCCCTTTTTTATTCATGTAAAATATTTCCCACAGTGTTCACTACTCCACCAATTATCTTGTTCCAAATCTCAAAGTCACTCCATAAATTAAAGCTTAACATGGGGCTGACACAATCTACAAAAGCTTTGCTCATTTTCCCAACTATAAATGGTAAAAAGCATCAGTGAAGTTCTTAAAGAAAAATAAGAAACAAAAAATAAAAAAAACAAAGGAAAAGATTGGCGGCTAAGTAGTTAAATACAAAACTCAAAGCTTGCAGTAGTCTAGTTAAAGAATAGAGGAGGAAGAAAAGAAAACAAATAAGAGATTTGTAAATTAAAATATGCAGTGAGGCATTAGAACATTTTGACATTTCTCAAAGTGAAAACCCTGTTGGTCTATTACATTAAAGGAAGAGGGTAAATATGCCTTTTCTTCATTTCTAGTTTTTAGTTAATACTGAGGAATGAAATTATATTTGCTGAAGAACTTGGAGACGGTTGCCAATATTTTCACTTCAATTTTTTTTTTAAAAGCCTCTTCAAAAAGAAAATATTTTACCCCTGCCAAGGCTCTTTGTAGAGAACTGTAGCCTTTAAAAATAAAGTTCAACAGATGCTTTTAAAGTTTGAAATTAATTTTTAAAGTAATGTGACTTTTAGTGGTTTGTTGATTGATATTTTCTACTCAGGATGAGTGATTAGGAGAAGAATTCACAGGACGAATAACAAACGATACTCTGGAACAGCCAACTTCGATCAAAAAGGAATATGAGAGAGAAAAAAATCTGCTTTGGCCTATCTGGTTCCAGGTAGCTGGGGCATGGAAATCAGACTCGGGGCTGGCAGTTGGCCCATGCATCCCAATCTCTTCATAACTTAAGGCCACCTACTTAATAAGTCCTATTCCTCTCCTGTCACCACTCAATTCACTTGCAATCAATACTGAGTAAGTTAAAGGATCCCTGTAAATCATACTTGGAAAGTAAAAGAGCTGTGAGGTTTTTTTGGTTTTTTTTCTCTTAATCTAAGCAAGCCACATCCAATGGAAATAAAGAATTCTTCCATATTAAATTTTAGGTCTTTATTTGAACAACTACAACGAAAAAAACATTGCTCATTAACACTATTACTTAGCCTCTTTCAATGGAGAAGTAGCCAATGATAATAATAAAGCCAAACGCTATTTCATTGAAGTTAGAAAAAAGTTTAACTCTTTGTATGTACAAACCTCTGTAAATTGACTAAAAGTTAGAATGGACCATTTGAAAACATTATGAAAATGGAGAGCTATGGTTAGATGTGATGACACACACATATCTGTGAACAGTTAATAGAATAAGACTTGCAAATTTAATAGAATAAGAATGAAATACAGAAATATAAAGAGGTTTACTAAGAAGCAACAGATCATGAACAAACACATGACTGACAGCTTCTCAGTGCATCTTTAATCTTGAGTGCAGCCTTGAAGTGGTTTACAAAACAGAACTCAAGAGAGGCAGCATTGCACAATGCCTTGCCCAGAGAATATACCCAGTATTTGTTTTTTGAATGCTATAAGCAATCCATTTAACTGGGTTGGCTTATTCCTTTCTCTTCTACCACCTTCCTCTAGGGAAAAAAGGAGAGCTGATTTAAGCTCTTAGGCTTTATTTTGGTTATGCCACTTCCCCGACTGCTTTAGTGACCTTCGGTAACTCAACTTTTATAGCCTTGGGCATCATTGACAAACCAAGTATGTACAACTAGATAATATCCAGGCTCTTAGACAAGTGCATTAGTCATGCTTAATCTTCAACAATACATGTGGGGTGAGAAGATTAAGGCTCAGAGTTGTAAGGTATGTGAATATGTTTTTGACTCTTGAGACTATACAAATATTTTAGGAAAGCACTTTATAGTTGACAAAGACCCAAAGACAGGAGAATATATCATCACTTTCCTTTAGTCTGCATTTTCCTTTCCAAACTACAAAGTGCAACAATGGATGGGCCTTAACCATAGCCAGATAAACACATTCTACCCACTGTAGATTCTAGTCAGTATGCAAGCCCATGGGAATGTATGAGGATATTGTAGTAAGCAGAGTCTCAAGACAGTCACAATTCTCAGTGTAAATATGACACCATGGTGATAGGCTCATGGCCCACTTAGAATGGTGGCAGTGACACAGTGCAGAGCTGTAAATCTAGAGATCTAGGCTCTTATCCCAGCTCTGTCATGAATTTGAGGTATGGCCTCAAACAAGATCCTCCATTTCTTCTGGTTTCCAGAATTATCTGCTCTCCTTTCAACCTTGTACATCACTTGTAAGGATCAAATAAGCAAATGTGCACAAAAAACACTTTTAAAGATTAAAATCCTCTGCAGGTGCCAGACTATCTGAACCCATATGAAGCTTGTCAAAAGAAATGGATGATGTACTTAAGACCAGTGGTTCACCAAAGTGGTGATTTCCCCCTCCCTCTCCCTGGTAGACATTTTTGGCTGTCAAAACTTGAAGGGTGGAGGTGTTGCCTGCTACTGGCATCTAGTTAGTAGAGAAAAGGGATGCTAAACATCCTATAATGCACAGAACAGCCCCCACAACAAAGAATGATCCAGTTCAAAATGTCAGGAGTGATGATGTTGAGAAACCTTGATTTAGACAAAGGTCCAAACTGGCTGGAAAGAAAAATAAAACTTTTCTAACCAGGCTTATCTCATCCTCTCCTACTCTCTTGCTTCTTTCTAAGGTAAAGAAGAAAATTGTGTCAACATTTCAGATGCTGACATACTCAGACTCAGAAAAACTCCAGTCTTTTAGGTGCCCAAAATAAATTCACGGCATGTTTAGTTCAACCCAGATAAATCTTTCCTAATGAGCTAGGGAGTTAGGAAAAACACCTTTCCCCAGAAGCTACAGTCATCTAACCTCTAATTCCTAAGCTTTTATAGCAAACAGAGTATCTCTCCAGTCTTTTGGACTACATGATTTATTTGCTCATTTGGTTGACTATCCACAGGCCCAGGTTCAGGGCATTTCTCATTTCAGTTGAAAGTATATAAAGAGCATTGCTCAAACTACCTATAGTGCTGACTGTCTACTTCCATCCCAGACCCACTGAGTGGGGGAGATGAGAAGCAATAAGGAGCTTTGTAGGGAAAAGCCGGAGAACAGTGAGGGCTGGGGGATGGTTAATTAGTCTGTTGTGATGTGCTCTCTCCAGCTGAGTCCCAGCACCACAACAATCCATTATTTTCAGAGTTGCCAATTAATTCAGCTGAATTTCTGACTCGAGGTGCCTCTCCAGTATAGAGCAATTAGCTGACACCCTTTGCTCCTGCAAGGGAATGAATACGCTCTATGAGGGGTATCAGACTCTGTATATCACACAACAGGAGCCTCAGTCTCCTTGCCTGCCCTCTGTCAGATCCAGCACTGAGCTAAAAAAAAGAAAAGAAAAAAAAAAGTAAGTCTCTCCCATGTAAAGATGGAAAGCGGGGAGGAAAGGAAGAGAGAGATGTGAGAATGTAGGAGACAATTCCTGTTCCTGAGAGAGATTTCCATTTTCTACTGCCCATAGAACAAAATGGAGTTTTCTAGTCAATTAATGTCTTGCATAGATCTGAGAAGTTGAAGATACCGAGTAGAACAAGTTCTGGAAGAACTGTGATCTAAGGTTGAAAGAAGTATCAGAGCCTCTTCCTGGAAATGTAAGGCACAAAGTGAGAACAAGTCCAGCAGAAAGTTGGTCTTATACAATTACATTGGAGTAGTTCTCAAAGCTTGCTGGATGTTTGAATTGTCCAAGGAGCTCTTGAAAACAATAATGCCGAGAACCAGCCATAGTGATCCTAATTTAATTGGCCTAGGATGAGGCCAAATCATCTGCTTTATAAATACTCCTCAGGTGAGTCTCATGTGCAACTGGACTTGAGAATCACTGGAACAGTGTGGGCCACAGACCAGGAGCATGAGCATCACCTGGGAACCTCTTAGAAAATATTGGACTGTGCTTCAAATAGGCTGGATCAGAATCTCTAGGGGTTGGGCCCAGCAATCTGTGTTTCACCAAACCCATCAGGTTATTCTGGTGCACACTAAGGTTTGAGAATCATGACACTAAAACAATGAGTTGCTTTATTTCTTTGCCTCTCTTTATCCTAGTATTAAGAAGTATTAATACTGGTGGAGTCCTATTCCTAAGTGTGTGTGTTTTCCCAAGTTCCCTTGGGTTGAATCCTTTGCTGTAATCTCTCCAACTGGGATCATGTACACTGTACCCATATGTTAATCCTGGCCTTATCTTTGAGCCAATCTCATCTCTACATCTTGATGAAAAATGAATAAAATGATAATGGATAGTGACTAAATATTAGTTGCAAGTACTCATCACTTTCATTGACAAGGCCATCAAAACCAGACACAGAAGTTTCATCCAACTGCATCCATCACCTTTCCTGATGGGAACTTCTTGTTTTTCTCTTTTCTTTGTGTGTGTGTGTGTGTGTGTGTGTGTGTGTGTGTGTGTGTGTGTGATGGGAACCTCTTTGACAGGGAGTTACTTGGTTACTTGAAAGGAGACACAACTCTTACTGCTAGAAAGCTGATTATTTAGTTATCTGCTGAGGGTCAGCGTCTCTCTCTTATGTGGAGGGGCCTGGAATTTATAGCTATTCTACTATTCTTGATTCACAGAAAAAAAAATAAGAATGACATATCATTGCTAACAACATGGGCTATGGCTGACTGGAAGGGAAACAGTATGATATCTGGAAGTTGAGGGAAACTTCCTCAGAAGTGTAACAGCATATAATAAAAACTGAACAAAAGTTTCACCTTGTCTACACAATGAGGATTATTAAAATAATGCCAGAGGCTATTGGTGCTGGACATAAACTTGAGACTCAGCAGGGAAGCTTCCACTGCAGGACTACAGCAAATGACTTGCTTGCTGTTGGCTAGGGGTCAGTGAGGTGGTGATATGAGGGCAGTTCTGGGCTCTAGATTTTAGAAGGAAAAGGGAGGGAGAAAACCACAGTGCTTGGCACTGGTTAAGTAACGAGAGATGTACTGATTAAGAATGGAAGATATAAACCTTCAGGGTCAGTGACTGCCTCCCAGCAAGGGTCCAAATTATTGCCATGTGTAGTAGAGCCAGTGCATCTGTGAACCAACCGTTCCTTGGGGAAGCAAAGAGAGAACACATTGTATGTGTGTTACTGTGCACCTGCTGCCAGATTGCTGAAGTCTGGTTTCTGACAACAGATTAAATAAAAATTAAGTTAAAACAAAACAATATATGAGTTTGCTATCTGGCATTAAACTTTTATGAAAACAGATGGGTGAGCATAATCTCTCAGAGGAACTCGTCTGACTGAGGTACTTTTTTCAGGCTGCAGGTGTAGACATTTCAAGAGCCCCTTGGGTCTCCTTTTGAAGAACAGAAACTAAAGCAAAAATCTAACACAGAATTGCACAATACACATTTTTGTTTTGTATTGGATATTTGAGAGTGTTCTAATGATGAGAGAAAATACATAGTTCAGTATTACATAGAATATGAGGATCTGCATCTATTTGACGCATTGATTCTTCTAATCAATCAATAGAGGTTTTTACTGTCCTTTTAACTTTCTTATGCAGTTCAAGGCTTAGTAGTCCCTAATTTGTAAGGGAACATCAGTAGAGAACACGAATTCCAGTGAATTAGGCATTGCTTTATGGATTATGGGCTCTGCAGCAGAAAAACATCTCTTTGAATCCTGTTTCTGTAGCTCATTAGCTTTTCTACCTTGGGCAATATTCAGACTTCTATTAGTCTCAGTTTCCTCATCTATGAAGTTAAATTGTTTTGAGAATTAAATAAGCTAATACCTGTAAAAACAATCAGACCCATGCCTGTTAGAAACATATGTAAATGTTGATAATGAAATTTGGAGGCTAATTTGGGGAGGATTAAATTAGACCTCTCAAGTCCTTAAGTGTCTACCCGGATTTAGGATGATAATCTATGTTATTTATACTAATATAAATAGGTATTTTCTAATAAGAGCACAATAATCACACTCTAAGAATTGTATTTTCAGGGACTTAGATATGGTGCAGGTCCAGTCAAATTATCTGAAACTTAAACCTGTAAATTCAAATGCTGATCTAACATAATGTGGAATGTCTACAGAGAATAATTTGCAGAGGAAAAAGACACAAGCTCACTTTTGGAGTAGCAGTTCTCCCTCTGTCTCACATATGTTACACTATTCACAGGGACCTATTTTTATTTTATCCTAATTTTCTTGTTGCTACTTTGGTCATGTGTTAACTCATACGTTTTTATGACCTGTGAAAAGGAAGCAGGTATTAACTACTCTACTAAACTATACATCTTTAGTCACCCTGGCCTAAAGGCAACTGTTGATTTCAATTAATTCAGTTCAGATTTGTGTTCTTAAAAATGTGCAAATCACTAGGGTGTTAAAAAATGATAAGACTTGGTCCCTTGTCCTAAAGAAACTTATTTCCGAAGACAGGTAAACTTATTATACATGGCAGAATAAGATAAGAAATATATAGGAGCATTATAATTACAGGAAAGATAAATGGCTTCAATCTGGTGAGTTGAAAAAATACAGAATGGAAGATAAGGAGTATTAAGCGGACTTTAAAGAAGAATGTAGATTCTTCCAGGTGGAACAGGGGAGGAGTGTATAGTAAATTCTCACATAGGGCACACCAAAGGTATAAAAGTGGGAGAAAACAGTTATATTTTTATTAAAAATTCCAGTTTGCTGGATATAGAGGTTATATTTCAGACCATCCAAATTGTGATTAGATTATGAAGAATAAGTTGAGCCGAACCGTGTTCATCCAAAGCCAGTGAGTGATAAGAGAACTTACTTAAAGATGTAAGTTGGAGAATGGTCAGAGCTTTACCTTAGGAAGATGAATACCGAAACTAGAGGTAAGATGTCTTAGTAGTTAAGTACATAATATTTCAGGCAAAAAGTAATGGAGGTCAAATCTAAAGGAGTAATACAGAAATACAGAAACATCAGGAAGAAAAATAAGCACAATGCTTTGGTGATTGAGAGAGGAGGATATAGAAAGAAGGAAATGAGTGAGAGAGAAGAAAAACCGTCCATGTTTTAGTCATGATCTTTTCTCCCCGACTCACTCTTGTGGTCAGGAAGTGGAGGTTATGTGAAGAAAGGAGATACATCTGATTTCTGCAATACATGCAAAAATCTGGGTACAAGCAGGGATGCTGAGCAAAACCTGGATGAATAGATGTAAAGTTCAGGGAAGAGTTGGCAGCATTATGGATTTAAATTGGGGTTTCTCAATAGACAGAGGACAGCTGAAGCCAGAATAATCACCAAAGGACAGCACGCAGACCTCATCTCTTAAAAAGATTGCAGGATGAGCGCTCAAAATAAAAATCAGGTGAATACTATTCAGTGGTAAAGGATGAGAGAAGACATTAAAGTAACAGAAAATACATGTAAAAATAATGACACTATAATAGTGCTGCAAATCAAGAAAAGCAGCCAGCAGAAGAACATTTCTTTTCAGTAAATATTGCAAGACAGAGAGCAGTCTAAGTCAGATTCAAGGTATAATAAAAGGTAAAATAAAGGAGGGGAAAGTCACGCACACCTGGTGAGATGCTCAAACTTTGTCAGCTAACATAAAGGACAGGAGTTGCTTTGGGCAATGCTCAGGATAACTGATTGTGAACTGCTTTTAAAACCCCATCTCTACTAAAAAAAAAAAAAAAAAAAAAAAAAAAAAAAAATTAGCCGGGCATGGTGGCACACACCTGTAGTCCCAGCTGCTCAGGAAGCTGAGGCAGGAGAATCGCTTCAACCTGGGAGGCAGAGGTTGCAGTGAGCTGAGATGGCACCACTGCACTCCAGCCTGGGCGACAGAGCAAGACTCTGTCTCAAACAAACAAACAAAACAACAACAACAACAACAACTAAGCTAGTTGGGCACATCCTCCTCTTATTACCCATACGTTCATGCACATAGGAAGTTTGTCCTCTGAAAGACAACTTTAGAATTATTTTTCAAAGCAAAATGTGTGATCTTCCTGGAGAAGAGTCTAAGTGTGGATGATGACATCTCAGAAGGCACATGATCCAGAACTTCATATGAAGCCTTGGTGAAGGGAAAAAGATAGGTGAGGGAGGAGGTTGATACAACCACCTTGAATAAAATAAGCATGCCATCATCCAGAGTGAACTACTTCTTATTCTAGAAATTGTGGTAACCTGCCTGTCTTCCTTCTCTGCACCAGCACCCTACCAAAAGACGGGCTGTGGTCCCGCACATTTACAAAAAGGAATCAGACTTCCAGTCCATCTAAGTCTCAAATTAGCTGGGGCAAAGTCATGAAGAAAGAATGAATGATGAGGGAAGGATGAAGACGGAGGAACATGGAAGACCAGGTGACCATGCTGTGGAGGGAAGGAGGAAAGAGGTTAAAGGGAAGGTGGGTAGAGAGTGGCTCTCAGGGCTTCATCATATGGGTGTGCTCATGCTTTCAAAATCATGCATCAAAATCACCTGGAAGGCTCGCTTAACCCGCTGTTGCTGCCCCCACCCCCAGCACCAGAGCACTTGGGTGTGTTAGAACCAGAGAATTTGCTTTTCCAGTAAGTTCTCGAGTGACGATGATGCCGAACTAGGGACCAGCTTTAAGAAGGTCTAGAATACTGGGAAGTGCTGGACTGGGAGGAGATCACTGTGATCCAGAAACAGAAGGTTCTAATTTCATAGGGGCTTAATTTAAGGAGCTAGAAAAGGTGGCCAGAGAGGCAAAGGGTCTGGCAAAGTAAGCACCTTGAACATTGTATTAGTTTCCCATTTCTGATGTAACAAATTTAGCGAATTAGAACAACATAAATTTATTTTATTACTATTCTGGAGTTCAGAAGTCCAAAATCAGTTTTGCTGGGCTAAAATCAAGGTGTCTGCTATCCCTACATGTCTACAGAAGTAGCTTCTTCTAGAAGGTCTGAGGGGAGAGTCTATTTCCTTGCCTTTTTTGGTGTCTAGTAGCCACCTGGCAATGTTCCTTGGCTTGTGACCTTTCCCTTCGTCTTCAAAATGCATCACTTTAAATTTCTGCTTCCTTCATCATACGCTGTGACTCCATCATCTGGAGTGACCTGACTCCTCCTGCATCTCTCTCATAAGGACTATTGTGAGGATCCTGGTCCCACATGGATAATCCAGGATACTCTCCCCCATCTCCTGATTCTTAACTCAATCACAACTGCAAAGACCCCTTTGTTACATTAGGTAATATTCACAGCTCCTGGAGATTAACACATGGATATATATTGGGGGAATTATTTAGCCTGCTGCCACCATGTTCAGTCCAATGTCCTTTCCTTTGTACAGTCCTGTCCTTCTGCATTGCCACCCTGTACTGAGAAATGGAACAAAATCATGCCATGCTCGAAATGGCTGGAAGTCATGTAGTTCTCTCTCTCCCTTACCTCAAGGCAGTCTGTTCTTCAACTATCAAAGTGCCTTTTCTATGTTTCAAAGCAGCAGTGTCTTTTGGCTGATTCCAAATATAAGGTGACTTCAGTTATATAGAACCTATCCATCTGGAACACTCATTTTACGCATAAGTTTTCCTTCTCTGTACAAAGGGCAAATGATATACAAATAAATGACCCTCTTTGATGGGTTTTATTAGTACCTTCTAGGGTTTGGTTGAAAAGTATATCTGTTATCCCTACATTTAATAGTTATGAAAAACGAACACAACATAAATGAGAAGTTTGGAAGTTTGTCAGATATAATTATTGCACTTATTAAGGCAAGAGTGAGGACCTCACCCAATAGTCACTTGTTCCCTTTCCCTATTGTATTATGATGCTTTAGATAGTTTATCTCAGGCTGACTTACTTTATTTTACATGAGTAGTTGGTAATGAGATATTTGTGTGCTGCTTTTTCTCTTGTTCTCCATATATCCTGATTTATTCTCATTTCGGGGTTGGTTAATCTTACAAACCCATTCCCTGATATTCCAGGTAACAGATCTTTTCTGTCCACTCTGGTTATTATTAGTCTGCCCTCTCCCAAAGAAATGCAGAAGCGCCTGGATAAATGTCTTTAAAAAACTTATTTTAAGGGGCAGGGTCTTGCTCTGTTGCCCAGGTTTAGTGTCATAATCACAGCTCACTGCAGCCTCGAACTCAAGCGATCCTTCTGCCACAGCCTCCCAAGTAGCTGGGACTACAGGAGTGTGCCACCATGCCCAGCTGTTTTCACTTTTTTTTTTTTTTTTGTGAAGACTAGGTCTTGCTATGTTGCCCAGGCTGGTCTCGACCTCTTGGCTTTAAATGATCTTCCCACTTGGCATCCCAAAGTACTAGGAAAATGTCTTGTATAATACAGTCTCATATGCAGAACATCTGACTCCATGCTCTTTGAGGATGAAGGTGAAATGTGGCTGCCTATGAGAGACTGTATTGTACAATGGTTACGAGTGAGAGCTCTGTAATATCATACTGCTTGGTTTGAGTTCTTACTGAGCCTCTTGCTGGCAGTGTGATTTTAGACGAGGGATAACTTTACTTTTCCGGACCTCTTTTCTATTATGTAAAATGAGGATAATCACCATAGTTACTTTATAAGGTTGTTGCAGGGATCAAGTAAAATAAATCCTAAAATCCAGCACATAATATGCCATCAACAATTATTAGCTTGTTTTAAAATTTTGAAGCTGGGAGTGTTGTTTTTTAAACATCCTTACAGCTCCCCAACAGATGCAATGTGTAAGTAGCTTATTCTGTGATCATATCCTAGCTGCTATAATCACTGTAGTCATCTATTCATTTCAGCAAAGAGCACACTGAACAGTTTAAAATATTGCTTGTCCTCCCCAAAAGCAGTTGCTGAGAGATAGTTGCCGTCATTTAAAACGATGTGATGAGCTCACACCATATCTATATTTTTTTTCAAAATGATAAAATAGTCTTTGTAAAGTAATATAAAATTCTTAATTGCTTCTTTTCACATATATAAAGGAAGCATACACTCCAATCTCCTACGTGAGAAATATATTTCACCACAACAATATACAGATACAGAAAATCTAGGAGAAGAAATTAGTATTTAAATAGTAGCTGTCACCCAAGACTATCAGATCACCACAGTAATTCCTCAATGTTCTTTATTATCTTTAAGTTATGGCAATATTTTATTGCTTAAAATGAAATTTTTAAGACTAGTCTCTCTCGACAGAATCAAGAAGAAAAAGAAATGATCAGATTTGATTTCCTCCATTTTCCAGACAGGAAAATTGGAGATATGGTGAAGTTATCCAACCCAAACAAGATAAAAACTTCATAGCATCTCAGTGCACTGCTAAAAGTAGAAACAATTTTTATCATTGCAAAAGGAGAGAGAAATGAGTTTGATGACAAATTCTATGAATTTCCTTGAGATACATTCCTATTGAACTAGATTCTGCTGAGACATGTATACCTATGTAACAAACCTGCACACTGTGCACATGTACCCTAGAACTTAAAGTATAATAATAATTTTTAAAAAATTAACAAAAAAAGAAAATTAGCCTTGTTGAAAAATAACAGCAACATTGTAACAAAGTTTAAATAATATGTTACAAAGTCACATAAATAGACTTAGGTCCCAAGAAGAGATTTAGAATCTGCTAATAACAAACAATTACCCAGCCTATATTCCATGGATGAAGTCAACTATTGCTCAGTGGACAGAGGTCTCAGAAACAAACATACACAAATAGGGCAAGAGCTCACTTATTTTCCTGCCTGCCCAGAGATATATACACATGGGGTGGACTGGTTTATCTTCTGGTCAAAGACAACTTATTTAATTTATCTGCAAATGAGAGTTTTCTCTATAGTTTTTTAATATATACTGTTAGCTTCTCTGCCAAAGAGACATCTGTGTTGTTCCATATTTCAGTCAAGTAAATTGGAAGAAGTGGGTGGTCTTTCTTTACAATAAACAAATTGGCTGTGCTCTCAGTTAATTTCTAGATAAATATAACCTCCTTATTAAGACTTCTGACAAGTTTCCCTTATACCTTTCTGGTTTAAGTTCAAGTGATGTACTAAGGGATTTAGCCAGGCTTTCTTTTTCTGCAGTTTAAGGGGTGGGGAACATTTAAAATACATATATTTGATATTATTTGAGTTCATTTCTTGGTCTCTAATAAATTACTTAGTGAAATTGAACTCATCTGGAATCAGAAGGAAACTGAAGTAATGTTTTCCAATTAAATATCAGGAATTTATACAACATCTAGGAAAGAAAAATCTCACTTTTAGAAAAGTAAAAGATTGGCAAAGAAGGGGACTTTGACAATAAGAAAGAAGGAAAAAGAATTTCAAATCTGTGTTGAAGGAAAAAGAATTGGAAGAATTTATGTCAGAAAAAGAATTTGAAGACTGTATTGGGAGTCAAAATTAATTTATGGTAGATTAGTCACTGGTAGAAAGAGAATGCATTCTAGATAGACAAAGAATATGAACAAAGGCACTGAGTTGGTGTGAGGATGAAACATTGGGGACAATAAAGAGTTAATATATCTTGGGGAATAGAGGATGCATGCTGAGTAATGTAGAAATTGAAGTTGGCTAAGTGGGAGGTAAGGAAGGGTCACGGAAATCTTCAAGCACACAGAGTGGTGCCTGCACTTGATGTTTTAGGAATCGAGCATCTACAATTTTGTTTCAGCACTGTTGTCATGGCCAGCTAGCTGAAGCCACACCCAGGTGTGAAGTGATTTAGTACCTGCAATGATAAGTGGGGTCCTTTAGCAGGCTCTCCCCTACCAAGCTGACCCTTTCTAGGAGAGAATTGGCCAAGTACAGGTTTAAAATGGGATTAACCCAGGACAGGCACGGATTGTGAATGTTGTCATTGTCAAGTGTCTTTTTTGGGCACTAAGAGCTACTTCCACCCCTCTTTTTCAATGTCATTTGGGTACTTTCCTTATAATAAAGCTGGTTTGTGGGTAAGCTTTAAGGCAGGTGGCTGGGAAGCAGATTCTGAGACTATGATTCATAGTCAAGTGATTTATTAAGGAGACACCCCCCCGACAGAAAATCCAGTAGGAGAGTGGTGAAACAAACACAAGGAAAGGGAATAAGCCAAGCAAGGAAGAGATTTCAGGCAACGAGCTGGCCTCAGCTGAATCTTGCAGAGGAATTCTAGGGGATGAATTGCACTTTGGAGTTTGTTCTGAATTCATCAAGGTGATGTGGATGGGTTTTAATTTTCCTGTACTGATTAGTCACTGGCTGAGGAATGCCCAGGGGAGAGAGTAAGAAAGTAAACTTCCAGGCACTTCTAGCTCTCCAGGCTGGAAGGCAAAACAGCCCTCAGGCAGTCCTCTGAGTAGGACTTGGAGATAGAAGCCAAAAATAAAAAAGCCAGGAGATAGATGGACAGTAATATTTGAGGGAATCTGGAATGAACATCAGTAGTAAATGCTTCTGCCGGGCACTGGGTTTATAAGAACATTATTTTTGCCCTCTTTTCATATTGGCCTGAACTTGCAATTTTTTACCCATTACTTCCTCTCACCTGAGAATCTGAAACAGTTTGGAGGGCTGACTTCCAAGATATCCACTACCTCTTTCACTTGTCCAGTAGAAGTGTTCAGATTTAATTCTGCATCGCAGAAAATAATTAGGTCTTTAAAGCCTATAAATTACATTTGTCAGCAGCAGAGAAAACAAATGGAGTTTCTGGTTCTCTGGTGGCAATGATGAATGGCAACATTGAGCTTTTGCTATAAGAAGCTTGTGTGGACCCAGGAACTTGTTTATTGACTCTTAACGAAAAGACAATTAATCCAAACCATTTTAGATTGTGGTGGCCAAGCTCTGTGTATAATGGGACTGAGGGGTTCTACTGGGTTGGAAAGTTCCATATGGCTGACATCCCTCCAATGACAGGAGAACATGCTGTCAGGGCTCCAGTTTAGAGTAGAATATGTGGTGAAAGGATACAGATTAGACAATTCATTAACTAAGATTTATATGTTGCTAGTAGCTATTAATAGGACTGATAGTATCTGTATAGGACATAGATTCCTGGCTAACACTCATGATGTAAACCCCTGTTAGCTTCTGACGACACACTGCAGTTCAGCAGCAAAATTTCCAAGTTTAAAGTAAAATGTAATTGATTAAAACATGATTCTAAAGGTAAGGAGTGTGTAGGCTGAGAAGCAAACCTGGATTTGCCCTAATGACTGCTAATAAGATACTAAACCCAACAGCACTCTGTTTGTAGTCCTTGAGGAATGTGGTGCCTGGAACAGCCCTGCATGCTTAGAGGTGGGCTGACTCAGTGCTTAGGACACAGCTGAAGCAGATCGTTATGCTGTGTATTTTGAAGTTGCTGAAAATAGACCTCCCCTCCACTTTGATCCTGCTTCCAGGGCAGTCATTAACTGCTCTGTTAAAACAGAGATACTGAGGTTGGGATTAACCAAGGACATACACATTTCCCCCTTCTCTTGGGTCCTGAGAAAGGAGCTTATAGCAAATGACTGTATTTAGGCAAATATGTGTCTGCAAGAGTTCAATCAAAGCTGATTTACATCCTGTAATATCGGTAGTAGGAATCTCATTTCCAACATGCTGATAAAACATAGCATTAGACAAATACAATAAACAAGCAGGAAAAACAGAACAAAAGAGGAAAGCTAAAAGAATCACTAAGACAGTATCTCAGCTTGCTTTTTAGCAATACACACAAGCAAACAGCAGAATAAACTGGATTCTAATGGAAGATGTTCTCTTGGCTTAATGCTCATAGAAACAGAGAAATCCATTCAAGGTCCCTGTTCAATATGGTTCAGGGAAACAGCCTTGCTGAATTCAACTTTCTACACAATTCAGTTACTGTGTCACCATCCAGAAACCTACATTTGTATTCATGAGTTAGGAATATTATGGTAAAATACAGGAAGTCTCTAGATTCCATGGTCTTTATAAAGAAAAAAGCAGTCTTATCCCTTTTAATCAATAGAAAGGCATGGTAAAGGTATCTAAAGAGCACTTCAGGGCTCCTCATAATTTTTCATCGCTTCTCTTCACTCCCTGGAGAGAAAACTATTCATGTGTCCAGGATTCACTTAGCCCTGCAATGTGGAGGTGCCAGTGTTACATCCTATGAAGGTTACAGACATGCACACGGTTTGTCTCCATTTCTCTAGTGGATATTCCTTGAAGTTGGGAATCCAGACAGGTACAGAAATAATTGTTATAATAGGCATCCTGTAAACACTGACCACACAATTGGAAGAGATACCAGATGTTTAGGAACTGGGGAACTGGAAAGACAGCAGTAGTTAAAATGAGTAAAATAAAATGCTGGATGTTCCAGCAGTATATTCTGTATAAAAAAGCTGGCCAGGATATGTGGAAGTCTCAAGCAAGCCAATAATGGAGCTCCATTACCATTTGCTATTTCTTAAACATTTATTCAATATTTGTAAATGAGGTTGAGAAGGTGATTTTTTTCTTAAGAAAATTATTAACACAAAAATATTATAAATAGAAGCAGATTCCCTTTCACTACTTCACAGCCACTGGGGGAAAGAAGTTCTAAAAATGATTAGCCTACCAATTTCTGCTTTTATGCAACTTTTATTATAGCTTCACTTTAAAATTTTTTTATGGACTCAACTTCTTGAGATTCATAGTAATAATAATATCTAACATTTATTGAGTGCCTATTATGTGCCAAATCCTATAAGTGAGGTAAATTATCTTTCTTAAACTTCCTTCAAAACAAACTTCCATTGTCAATAATACCTCAATGAACTGGAAAAAATCCCAAACTTACTTATAAGTTGAGGCTTATAATTAGCCTTATTTAATTAAAGAATCTAAAATGTAGATACTAAAATAAATCACTGGTTCCCAACAAGGAGCATTAAGCCATGCATAAGCTGCTTTTTGAACCTCAGCTGACTGGATATACATGAAAGCCGCAAAAAAATACTCAACTGATAGACATTTTGCAGCAAGAGTGAATTTCATTTCTTTACATATCCTTGGTAGTGTGCTGTCCACTTTGCTGGAAGCTTGATCAATTTAGCTCAGCACTCTTAGATATAGGTGACCTGATCTTTAATCTGATTTGGAAGTCTATAAAAGTCTTATGAAATCCAAATTTTTCAAGTTCAGAAATAATTAGTATGATTGATATTTTAGTGCTAGTCTTAGTCCTTTTTTATTCAGTTATAACTTCAGATGACAGCTATAATACTCTTGAGTTCTTAAAGATAAAAATATTTTTCTTATAATTTGAACTTAAGATTGTGAAAAAGAGAGGCAAATTTGAAAATTTTCAATACATAACCAACATTCCAGCGTATCGAACTTTTAACATCCGAAATGTTTCTTAGGGATGTTTAATTGCCTCTCAGAGCATGGGTAATAGGAAATCACTTAATACAATATCCATCCTGCTCTTTATCCTACAGGATTTGATTTACTCAACCAGTTCTACAACCCTGTGCTAGGTAATATTGAAACATAAAAATAAGATCTTCTTTCAACATTTTCAACAACTTATAATCTGTAGAGAACTATCATCCCTATTAACAGATAGGAAAATGAAAACTTAGAGAGGTCCAAGTTTACACGGACAGTAAATGGAGAAGCCAGAATTTAAAGTTGGCTCTAACTTTAGAGTCTTTATTCATTGTTTGGTAAATTTCAATCCTGAGTCTTCAATGCTGATGTCAAGCTGACCCCATAAGGCTGGTATCTCAGTGTGTGCAAACATCTAGCCATGTGTAGGTATTAAAAATAAGATGCTTCTAAAAGGCAGTATGGTGTAGGGAGCAGAGTTTTGGACATGGAGCTAATCCTTGATTTGGTGATTCCTGGCTATTTGAACTTGTCTTAATCAGGACATTTTGTTAATTTTGTACAAAATAGAAATCCCAGTTGTCCACTTGAGCTGTTTCACTGGCTTATGATGGTGACTGTTCAGTTTCATCACTGCACTTGTCAGTGCTGTTTTACTGTGTGTGCATTCTTCCATCTAGAATTTAGGCTCCCAGGAAATATTTACCTTATTCAGTGTGTTTATCATCATTGCATTCCAGCAACTAGAAAATGTCTGTAACATAAGAAGTGATTCCTAAGGTTGATTGAATGAAAGAGGCAATGGATCTCAAGGCTTCTGTAGAATATAAAAGGCACTTTTATTGTCAGGGATTGCTATGATTATTCTCACCATCACATTTCAAGGTGGTTAATCATTGTCCCCCATCTCCATGACAGCGTTGGCCTTGACTTGACTTGGTATCTTATCCTTCATTTCAGCTCATGGTATTTGGCATTTTTAGCTTATAGACTTTTTTTTGCATCAAACACAAATTCATACACACAGATATCTGAGACCGAAGACTAAACATTAAAATGAATCACTGTCAAGAAGAATCAGGCATGCTGTTTGGGGCACAATTGTTGCCTGGGAAATGCTAAGACATGAAATTAATGGAGAGAAGTTTGGGTAGGTTTGGTTATTTACTTATTTATTTGTTTGTTTTGTTTCTGGTAATTGACAGTTTCTTCCCTTGAGATGGAGATGTAACTTAATTGCTGACCCCCAGCCTCTAGGCAGCCTATGAGCAGAGAGCTCAGCCAATGAGGAGGGAGGGACAGTGAAAGTCCTGCTTTTCCCTTTGATGGTTCATCTGTTTCTGTTGCCTCTTGAAACTGTGTTAAAGCACTTACAAAACAATTATCTTGCGGGACTGCTAGAGCCATCCTAGATCTATCCTTTTCATTAGGCAATTCCTGCTGGGGACCAAAAAGTCTGGAACTCGTTTAATGGAACACTAAGAATAATCACTATGTGAGTTCCTTACTTCCTGGAAACCTGAAAGCATAAACATAGGGGTTTTGTTTAGATAAAAGTCCTGCCAGCCATGGAATTTTATTATTGTGTAGTTTCTGACAGATAAATGGCAGTATGGAGGTAGAGTTTTCTTTCTATTCTCACATACCTGGAGATAATAAAGCTGGGACAACCCAAAATTGTATTTGTTTTTCATGAAGATTTACTACAAGGTTATTTTATAACTGGACTGACTGCGATTCCCAAAACACATTCTAGAGCATCCTGTGTGTGTGGACTTGGGTGGGAAGAGGTTCTATCAAAGTAACCTTAATTTCCACTGAGATGTACCTCCACCCTATGATTTTTAAGTTCAGCTCAAATTCATACTACAGGAAGAAAAAAATAGCATTGCTTCTATATATAGCAATGATTTAATAGGATTAACTTAATAACATTTTCTTACCCATTAGCACATTTTATTGTACCAAAATTCTATAGAGCAAATGGTTCTGGCATTATTTCCTTGATGTTTTCAAGTCGAGGGGAATGACTCACAGTGCTTAAGTCTTAAACACTTGCTCCAAGTTGACTTCAGTGATACTATTTCATGTACAGAGAAGGCTGAAATAATTAGGTTAAATCTTGACTTTGCCAGAATTCAGATTTTTCTTAACCTATAAACCTGACTCAATAGAAAGCAGTTTCATTCTAAGACAACCAGTCAGACAGAAATTAATTATCTTCAAGAAAGTGAGGTGGTTTACCACTCTACGAGGTGATATCACATACATTAACTCATCTGAGGCTTATAAGAACCTCTTGGAAAAGGCTGAAGAAAAAATCTCTTTATTTATAATATGGGGTCCTAGTAAGTCTCAGTGAACTGAAATGACTTACTTCAAGTTTCCCAGCTAGGAGATGGTTGAGCTGGGACAATCCCAAAGGTCTTACTTGCTTTTCATAAGGATTTACTACAAAGTTCTTTTTTTTTTTTTTTTAATTATACTCTAAGTTTTAGGGTACATGTGCACATTGTGCAGGTTAGTTACATATGTATACATGTGCCATGCTGGTGCGCTGCACCCACTAATGTGTCATCTAGCATTAGGTATATCTCCCAATGCTATCCCTCCCCCCTCCCCCGACCCCACCACAGTCCCCAGAGTGTGATATTCCCCTTCCTGTGTCCATGTGATCTCATTGTTCAATTCCCACCTATGAGTGAGAATATGCAGTGTTTGGTTTTTTGTCCTTGCGATAGTTTACTGAGAATGATGGTTTCCAATTTCATCCATGTCCCTACAAAGGATATGAACTCATCATTTTTTATGGCTGCATAGTATTCCATGGTGTATATGTGCCACATTTTCTTAATCCAGTCTATCATTGTTGAACATTTGGGTTGGTTCCAAGTCTTTGCTATTGTGAATAGTGCCGCAATAAACATACGTGTGCATGTGTCTTTATAGCAGCATGATTTATAGTCCTTTGGGTATATACCCAGTAATGGGATGGCTGGGTCAAATGGTATTTCTAGTTCTAGATCCCTGAGGAATCGCCACACTGATTTCCACAATGGTTGAACTAGTTTACAGTCCCACCAACAGTGTAAAAGTGTTCCTATTTCTCCACATCCTCTCCAGCACCTGTTGTTTCCTGACTTTTTAATGATTGCCATTCTAACTGGTGTGAGATGATATCTCATAGTGGTTTTGATTTGCATTTCTCTGATGGCCAGTGATGATGAGCATTTCTTCATGTGTTTTTTGGCTGCATAAATGTCTTCTTTTGAGAAGTGTCTGTTCATGTCCTTCGCCCACTTTTTGATGGGGTTGTTTGTTTTTTTCTTGTAAATTTGTTTGAGTTCATTGTAGATTCTGGATATTAGCCCTTTGTCAGATGAGTAGGTTGCGAAAATTTTCTCCCATGTTGTAGGTTGCCTGTTCACTCTGATGGTAGTTTCTTTTGCTGTGCATAAGCTCTTTAGTTTAATTAGATCCCATTTGTCAATTTTGGCTTTTGTTGCCATTGCTTTTGGTGTTTTGGACATGAAGTCCTTGCCCACGCCTATGTCCTGAATGGTAATGCCTAGGTTTTCTTCTAGGGTTTTTATGGTTTTAGGTCTAACGTTTAAATCTTTAATCCATCTTGAATTGATTTTTGTATAAGGTGTAAGGAAGGGATCCAGTTTCAGCTTTCTACATATGGCTAGCCAGTTTTCCCAGCACCATTTATTAAATAGGGAATCCTTTCCCCATTGCTTGTTTTTCTCAGGTTTGTCAAAGTTCAGATAGTTGTAGATATGTGGCGTTATTTCTGAGGCCTCTGTTCTGTTCCATTGATCTATATCTCTGTTTTGGTACCAGTACCATGCTGTTTTGGTTACTGTAGCCTTGTAGTATAGTTTGAAGTCAGGTAGTGTGATGCCTCCAGCTTTGTTCTTTTGGCTTAGGATTGACTTGGCAATGCGGGCTCTTTTTTGGTTCCATATGAACTTTAAAGTAGTTTTTTCCAATTCTGTGAAGAAAGTCATTGGTAGCTTGATGGGGATGGCATTGAATCTGTAAATTACCTTGGGCAGTATGGCCATTTTCATGATATTGATTCTTCCTACCCATGAGCATGGAATGTTCTTCCATTTGTTTGTGTCCTCTTTTATTTCCTTGAGCAGTGGTTTGTAGTTCTCCTTGAAGAGGTCCTTCACATCCCTTGTAAGTTGGATTCCTAGGTATTTTATTCTCTTTGAAGCAATTGTGAATGGGAGTTCACTCATGATTTGGCTCTCTGTTTGTCTGTTGTTGGTGTATAAGAATGCTTGTGATTTTTGTACATTGATTTTGTATCCTGAGACTTTGCTGAACTTGCTTATCAGCTTAAGGAGATTTTGGGCTGAGACGATGGGGTTTTCTAGATAAACAATCATGTCGTCTGCAAACAGGGACAATTTGACTTCCTCTTTTCCTAATTGAATACCCTTTATTTCCTTCTCCTGCCTGATTGCCCTGGCCAGAACTTCCAACACTATGTTGAATAGGAGCGGTGAGAGAGGGCATCCCTGTCTTGTGCCAGTTTTCAAAGGGAATGCTTCCAGTTTTTGCCCATTCAGTATGATATTGGCTGTGGGTTTGTCATAGATAGCTCTTATTATTTTGAAATACGTCCCATCAATACCTAATTTATTGAGAGTTTTTAGCATGAAGGGTTGTTGAATTTTGTCAAAGGCTTTTTCTGCATCTATTGAGATAATCATGTAGTTTTTGTCTTTGGCTCTGTTTATATGCTGGATTACATTTATTGATTTGCGTATATTGAACCAGCCTTGCATCCCAGGGATGAAGCCCACTTGATCATGGTGGATAAGCTTTTTGATGTGCTGCTGGATTCGGTTTGCCAGTATTTTATTGAGGATTTTTGCATCAGTGTTCATCAAGGATATTGGTCTAAAATTCTCTTTTTTGGTTGTGTCTCTGCCCGGCTTTGGTATCAGAATGATGCTGGCCTCATAAAATGAGTTAGGGAGGATTCCCTCTTTTTCTATTGATTGGAATAGTTTCAGAAGGAATGGTACCAGTTCCTCCTTGTACCTCTGGTAGAATTCGGCTGTGAATCCATCTGGTCCTGGACTCTTTTTGGTTGGTAAACTATTGATTATTGCCACAATTTCAGAGCCTGTTATTGGTCTATTCAGAGATTCAACTTCTTCCTGGTTTAGTCTTGGGAGGGTGTATGTGTCGAGGAATGTATCCATTTCTTCTAGATTTTCTAGTTTATTTGCGTAGAGGTGTTTGTAGTATGCTCTGATGGTAGTTTGTATTTCTGTGGGATCGGTGGTGATATCCCCTTTATCATTTTTTATTGTGTCTATTTGATTCTTCTCTCTTTTTTCTTTATTAGTCTTGCTAGCGGTCTATCAATTTTGTTGATCCTTTCAAAAAACCAGCTCCTGGATTCATTGATTTTTTGAAGGGTTTTTTGTGTCTCTATTTCCTTCAGTTCTGCTCTGATTTTAGTTATTTCTTGCCTTCTGCTAGCTTTTGAATGTGTTTGCTCTTGCTTTTCTAGTTCTTGTAATTGTGATGTTAGGGTGTCAATTTTGGATCTTTCCTGCTTTCTCTTGTAGGCATTTAGTGCTATAAATTTCCCTCTACACACTGCTTTGAATGTGTCCCAGAGATTCTGGTATGTGGTGTCTTTGTTCTCGTTGGTTTCAAAGAACATCTTTATTTCTGCCTTCATTTCGTTATGTACCCAGTAGTCATTCAGGAGCAGGTTGTTCAGTTTCCATGAAGTTGAGCGGCTTTGAGTGAGATTCTTAATCCTGAGTTCTAGTTTGATTGCACTGTGGTCTGAGAGATAGTTTGTTATAATTTCTGTTCTTTTACATTTGCTGAGGAGAGCTTTACTTCCAACTATGTGGTCAATTTTGGAATAGGTGTGGTGTGGTGCTGAAAAAAATGTATATTCTGTTGATTTGGGGTGGAGAGTTCTGTAGATGTCTATTAGGTCTGCTTGGTGCAGAGCTGAGTTCAATTCCTGGGTATCCTTGTTAACTTTCTGTCTCGTTGATCTGTCTAATGTTGACAGTGGGGTGTTAAAGTCTCCCATTATTAATGTGTGGGAGTCTAAGTCTCTTTGCAGGTCACTGAGGACTTGCTTTATGAATCTGGGTGCTCCTGTATTGGGTGCATAAATATTTAGGATAGTTAGCTCCTCTTGTTGAATTGATCCCTTTACCATTATGTAATGGCCTTCTTTGTCTCTTTTGATCTTTGTTGGTTTAAAGTCTGTTTTATCAGAGACTAGGATTGCAACCCCTGCCTTTTTTTGTTTTCCATTGGCTTGGTAGATCTTCCTCCATCCTTTTATTTTGAGCCTATGTGTGTCTCTGCACGTGAGATGGGTTTCCTGAATACAGCACACTGATGGGTCTTGACTCTTTATCCAACTTGCCAGTCTGTGTCTTTTAATTGCAGAATTTAGTCCATTTATATTTAAAGTTAATATTGTTATGTGTGAATTTGATCCTGTCATTATGATGTTAGCTGGTGATTTTGCTCATTAGTTGATGCAGTTTCTTCCTAGTCTCGATGGTCTTTACATTTTGGCATGATTTTGCAGCGGCTGGTACCGGTTGTTCCTTTCCATGTTTAGCGCTTCCTTCAGGAGCTCTTTTAGGGCAGGCCTGGTGGTGACAAAATCTCTCAGCATTTGCTTGTCTATAAAGTATTTTATTTCTCCTTCACTTATGAAGCTTAGTTTGGCTGGATATGAAATTCTGGGTTGAAAATTCTTTTCTTTAAGAATGTTGAATATTGGCCCCCACTCTCTTCTGGCTTGTAGGGTTTCTGCCGAGAGATCCGCTGTTAGTCTGATGGGCTTTCCTTTGAGGGTAACCCGACCTTTCTCTCTGGCTGCCCTTAACATTTTTTCCTTCATTTCAACTTTGGTGAATCTGACAATTATGTGTCTTGGAGTTGCTCTTCTCGAGGAATATCTTTGTGGCGTTCTCTGTATTTCCTGAATCTGAATGTTGGCCTGCCTTGCTAGATTGGGGAAGTTCTCCTGGATAATATCCTGCAGAGTGTTTTCCAACTTGGTTCCATTCTCCACATCACTTTCAGGTACACCAATCAGACGTAGATTTGGTCTTTTCACATAGTCCCATATTTCTTGGAGGCTTTGCTCATTTCTTTTTATTCTTTTTTCTCTAAACTTCCCTTCTCGCTTCATTTCATTCATTTCATCTTCCATTGCTGATACCCTTTCTTCCAGTTGATCGCATCGGCTCCTGAGGCTTCTGCATTCTTCACGTAGTTCTCGAGCCTTGGTTTTCAGCTCCATCAGCTCCTTTAAGCACTTCTCTGTGTTGGTTATTCTAGTTATACATTCTTCTAAATTTTTTTCAAAGTTTTCAACTTCTTTGCCTTTGGTTTGAATGTCCTCCCGTAGCTCAGAGTAATTTGATAGTCTGAAGCCTTCTTCTCTCAGCTCGTCAAAATCATTCTCCATCCAGCTTTGTTCTGTTGCTGGTGAGGAACTGTGTTCCTTTGGAGGAGGAGAGGCGCTCTGCGTTTTAGAGTTTCCAGTTTTTCTGTTCTGTTTTTTCCCCATCTTTGTGGTTTTATCTACTTTTGGTCTTTGATGATGGTGATGTACAGATGGGTTTTCGGTGTAGATGTCCTTTCTGGTTGTTAGTTTTCCTTCTAACAGACAGGACCCTCAGCTGCAGGTCTGTTGGAATACCCTGCCTTGTGAGGTGTCAGTGTGCCCCTGCTGGGGGGTGCCTCCCAGTTAGGCTGCTCGGGGGTCAGGGGTCAGGGACCCACTTGAGGAGGCAGTCTGCCCGTTCTCAGATCTCCAGCTGCGTGCTGGGAGAACCACTGCTCTCTTCAAAGCTGTCAGACAGGGACACTTAAGTCTGCAGAGGTTACTGCTGTCTTTTTGTTTGTCTGTGCCCTGCCCCCAGAGGTGGAGCCTACAGAGGCAGGCAGGCCTCCTTGAGCTGTGGTGGGCTCCACCCAGTTCGAGCTTCCCAGCTGCTTTGTTTACCTAAGCAAGCCTGGGCAATGGCGGGCGCCCCTCCCCCAGCCTCGTTGCCGCCTAGCAGTTTGATCTCAGACTGCTGTGCTAGCAATCAGCGAGATTCCGTGGGCGTAGGACCCTCTGAGCCAGGTGTGGGATATAGTCTCGTGGTGCGCCGTTTCTTAAGCTGGTCTGAAAAGCGCAATATTCGGGTGGGAGTGACCCGATTTTCCAGGTGGGTCCGTCACCCCTTTCTTTGACTCGGAAAGGGAACTCCCTGACCCCTTGCGCTTCCCAGGTGGGGCAATGCCTCGCCCTGCTTCGGCTTGCGCACGGTGCACACACACACTGGCCTGCGCCCACTGTCTGGCACTCCCTAGTGAGATGAACCCGGTACCTCAGATGGAAATGCAGAAATCACCCGTCTTCTGCGTCGCTCACGCTGGGTGCTGTAGACCGGAGCTGTTCCTATTCGGCCATCTTGGCTCCTCCTCCCTACAAAGTTCTTTTAAATAATGAACCTCCTTAGTGCATTTCAAGTAGGGTTCGATGTGCAGAGATATGATTTACATACCACCTTTTTCTACTTTTTCTTTTGCCTAATACTAAACAGATATTCTAGCAGATACTCATGAATATTCAATTTATGCCCAGTCTCAGAAAGTATCAGCAAGGTGCTCCTAGCTTAGGAAAAAAGCCAGGTTTCTGAAAATAGCAGTGAGGCTCCTAGAGCATCCAGCTTTGAGTTTCCTCACTGAGCCACTACAGGCCTCCCTGTCTCTATCTAGTCAGCCTGAGATAATTCTGAATCAGCAGTCAGACCAAAGTTCTCAGCTTCCAGTCAGCTCAACACTTCCATTTTCTTTCCTGCTCAAGGCTCCATTCCAACCTTCTTGCGACAAATTTTCCTGGCACTTCCTTTGCACATCATCTGATTTAATAAACCTTACATTTTGCTGAGACCTCCATGGATGAGAAGAATGAAGGACCAAAGTCTCTCTCTCTGTTTTGCTCTTCTTTCTCTCACTGCCATTCCTCTGGAAGCTGTCATTTTAGCCTAGAGGGATCTCCTCTTTTGAACCTCTCCACCATTTATTGGTTTTGCTCATTTTTCCTGGTTAATTATCTTGTGGTTTATCTTTCAAGATTATTAAAAGCCAAATGAGGACAGAGATAGTTGACTATATTAATAGTATATATCTATGACAGTAATCTGAATACTGCCTTCCAGATCAGAAATGCTAATGAGTATCTACAAAATGCTTAATTTTTTTTCTTGAACTAACCATCTCCAATGAGGATGTAAGCATATTTCCTTTGGTTGAGAACATTTTTAATCACAGCCTAACATAGAAAATGCACAATTGGCAGCATCTGTATATTTTCAGGGATGCCCAAGTGTGTACTCCTAGATAGTATGTATTCTTCAAAGAAATCCATTTAGGAAGCCATCCATGGTTATTATATTTTTAGTAATAATAACTCATATTTAACATTTACTGAGTGCTTAGTATGTGTGTTCTAAATATTTTACCTTTATTAACTCATGTAATCCTTATAGGAAACAACCTTTGGAGAAGCAGAGCAGTGAAGAGGTTGAAAGGGTGTACCCTGCCAGACAGCACTGATTCATTACCCTGTATTCCTCTAGACCAAGAACACCTTGAACATACGAATTTTCTTTTAATTTTTTTTTCTTTTCTTTTTTTGAGACGGAGTCTTGTTCTGTCGCCCAGGCTGGAGTGCAGTGGCGCCATCTCAGCTCTTTTTTTTTTTTTTTTTTTTTTGTATTTTTTAGTAGAGACGGGGTTTCACCATGTTAGCCAGGATGGTCTTGATCTCCTGACCTCGTGATCCACCCGCCTTGACCTCCTAAAGTGCTTGGATAACAGGCGTCAGCCACCATGCCCGGCCAGTTCCTGGTGCATATTAAATGTTTAATAAATATTTAATGAATAGAGGAATTAATACATGAATGCCAATATTGCTTGAAACCTTTTTTGTGGACTCCATGTTGGAAATTGACAAGAAAGAAAATCAGTCTCATTATTCTATAATCACCCTTCATTTCAATCCAGGAATGGTATTATTTTTAGCTTGATGAACCACCTTAATCATGAGACTTAGTTTCAACTGATCTTTGGATAAATCCACAAAGTCAACCAAATTACCTTTTGATGGACATTAGTGTAAATCAAGGTTTCTCAGTCTTGGCACTGCGGACATTTCAGACTGGATAATTACTTGTTGTTGGAGGGTTGTCCAGTGCATTGTTGTTTGGCAGCATCCCTGGTCTCTACCCACTAAATATCAATGGCATCCCCCCACCCCCTCCAGCCCAGAGATGTAATAAACAGAAATGTCTCCGGGCATTGCCAAATGGCTGGTGGGACCTGGAGCAAAATCATCCCTGCTGAAGAATCACTGTTGTAAACCATTAGGAAGGTTGTTTTTTAAATGAGCTGCAAGTGTTTGTTTCTCTGACAGTTCTCAGAAAAGATATCCAGACATGATTTGAGAAACAATAGCATCTCTGGAATAAGTAACCCCTTCTAAGAGGACTACATCATAGGGAACAACGCCGATTTTGATGTTGAAGTTCTTGTGAGTTTGTTTACATGTAAGAAAATAAATTAAATTCCTCATTTCATTGTCATGTAATACATCTTCCTCTGTAAAGGCCAGCAGTGCTTCTTATGAATCTTCTCATTTCTCAAATAAGAAAGGGACCCAGGGGACATATAGTGAAGGGGGTGAGGTGACTTAACTTGCTCCCAGGTGTCCTGTCTGAGAGGCCTGTATTCTTTCTTTGACTGGTGCCCCTTATTCTACTTCTTTGGCAGTTCCTTCTACTTTCCTTCTAGCCTCTGCACCTGCCCTCCAACATGTGGCCTCTGAGGACTCACACTGCTTCTCTCGTACAGTGTCAGCTTCACAGTTCACCTCAGATGGCTTGCCGCCTGTCAGAAACGATGAGAGCATCTCTCCAAGAGTGGCAACCTTTTGCCTTTTCAGAGCCACAGACTCACAGCCAGCCCCACAATTACCAGTAAACACACTGGCCATACACAGCCCTGGGGTTGATGAGCCTGTCATGGCAGATTGACATAAATGCCACAGCAAACACTCTTCTTCCTCGGCCTCGAAGCCCCAAATGAGAAGAGCAGACGGCTGAACAGTTCACAGCCTTTAGCCATCAATTTGATTTAGCAACTGCTGCCACTCCGACAGCCCAGCAGCCAATTAGTGGCCCCAAGTCATCAGCATTAATTTGTTCACATTTCTCCCTGCAAATTGCTAATTGGTTGAACTGAGCAATGGTTGGCCTGGGCTGCTGGGGAGGAAGGAAACATTTGAGCTGTATCATTTCCTTGCTGAGTGTATTTAGATTAGAGGGGATGCTAAAGGACAAACTGCTCTGAACTCTTAGCAACTCAGAATGATAATCCTTTATAGCAAGGTGTCAATTTTTATAAATTCTGGATAGTGTTCTATTTCTTTCAGGTTAATTAGCATCCCATTTGTTGGAGTTGTCTGAAGAATGACTAGACTAAAACATTTTAATACCACTTCTTTATCAAGTCTTTCCATGTGTTTACATTTTGTTCTTGAAAACGAATAGTAAGATATCAACGATACCTTGCTTAATACTACCAGGGCGCTGCTTATTCTTCACAGCCAACCTCTGCTTCTCCACTTCCTAAATCTTTGCTCTTCTCTGGCTTTGGTATCCTGGGAGACTGACTCCTATGAACTGCATCACTCACTCTTGCCTTTTGGGTTGCCATCGGGGTTGGCTTAGTGAGAATCACAAGGAGAATAGAGTGTAGGAGGAGACAGGCATTTTTTTCTTGCCCCACTTCCTCCCTGCTTTGGTGCACATTTCTGGCACTGGGAAGCACTCCATAACTACATTCTCTGGCAGGGAACAACCCTCCCTTGGCTCTTTTATCATCAAGTCCCGGTAATTTTGTTTTCCCTCTTTGTTTTTTCCAGGTCTGGATATAGTAATGGTAATACTGCTGCTAGTTCCAAGGTACTTTAGCAGAGTTTGATGGTCTTTTGAAACCTGCCCGTACCTCTGCTGGTTTCATTAAATCCTCCTTAAAATACCACCTCGTTCTGCTATTATTTATTTTATGTGCCTGATACTTTCTATATGTTTTTATTCAGCAAGTGTTTATTTTGCTTATTCTCTTCAAGGGGGCGGATGTTCAGCTGTGGGCAGAACAGGTAGGATTGCTTTGTTCGTGGAATTTTTAATCTAGTTGGGATGTCAGAAATTAACTAATTAATTAGAAAAGAGATCTTTCACAGTAGGATTCTAGATCAGGGATTTTAGAGTTAATAGTGCCCAGTTCTAACCCTGGCTCCACTACTTTCTGATTGTATCACCTTAGGCAAATATTTAATCTTAGTTTCTCCATCTGTAAAATGGGGAGATCTGTGGTACCTACTTGTATTTACTTGCTAGGGCTGTGTGTTAGTCCATTCCGCATTGCTATAAAGGAATACTCGAGACTGGGTAATTTATAAAGAAAGGAAGTTGGTTTGGTTCAGGGTTGATATGGTTTGGTTCTACGTCCCTACCCAAATTTCACCTCAAATTGTACTCTCTGTAATCCCCACATGTGAAGGGCAGGACCAGATACAGGTAATTGGATCATGGGAGTGGTTCCTCCGTGCTTTTTTCGTGATAGTGAGTTCTCATAAGATCTGATGGTTTTATAAGTGTCTGACATTTCCCCTGCTTGCACTAACTCTGTCCTGCCACCCTGTGAAGAAGGTGCCTACTTTTCCTTTGCCCTCTGTCATGATTGTAAGTTTCCTGAGGCTTCCTCAGCAATGCAGAACTGTGAGTCACTGTGAGTCAACTAAACCTCTTGCCTTTATAAGTTACCTGGTCTTGTGTATTTCTTCATAGCAGTGTGAGAATGGACTAATACAGTGGTTCTGCAGGCTGCACAAGCATGGCACCAGCATCTGCTTGGCTTCTGGTAAGGCCTCAAGAAGCATCCTATCATGGTGGAAAGCAAAGGGGAAGCGAGTATATCACATGGTGAGAAAGGGAACAAGAGAGGAGGAGGTGCGGAGGCTTCTTTAAACAATCAGCACTCACATGAGCTAACAGAGCAAGAACTCATTTATTACCATGGAGAGGGCACCAAGCCACTCATGGGAGATCCACCCCCATGACCTAAACACCTCCCACCACGCCCCACGTCCAATATTGAGGATCACATTTCAATATGATATTTGAAGGGGAAAAATATCTGAACCATATCAGGCTACCATCACAAAATGACACAGATTGGGTGGCATATACATCATAAATTTGTTTTCTCACAGTTCTGGAGGCTAGAAGTACAAGAAAAAGATGGCTGCAGGTTTGGTTTCTTCTGAGGCCTCTTCCCTTGGCTTGCAGATGGCCACCTTCTCTCTGTGTCTCCATGTGGTCTTTCTTCTGTGCACATGCGTATTTGGTGTTTCTTTGTGTGTCCTAATCTCCTCTTATTACAAGGCACCAGTCAGATTGGATTATGACACACCCTATTGACCTCATTCAGCATTACCTTATTAAAGGCCTTATCTTCAAATATGGCCACATTTTGGGGTAGTGGGAGTTAGGACTTCAATATATAAATCTTGAGGGAACACAAGTTAGTCCATACCACTACTTTATATGAGTGATATAAGGATTAAATGAGTAATACTATCATTAAAACACACAGACACACACAGGCACACACTCCATGAACACATCAGAGACTTAAGACAACCATTTCTTACTTTATGCTACATGTCTATCATGGGCCCTTTCTATCACACCTACTGAGGGACTGTATTAGTCCATTCTTACGCTGCTATAAAGAACTGCCTGAGACTGGGTAATTGATAAAGGAAAGAGGTTTAATTGACTCACAGTTCCACAGGGCTGGAGAGACCCCAGGAAACTTACAATCATGGCAGAAAGGGAAGCAAACACATCCTCCTTCACATGGTGGCAGGAGAGAGAAGTGAGTGCCCAGTGAAGGGGAAAGCCCCTTATAAAACCATCATATCATCACATCTCCTGAGAACTAACTCACTATCATGAAAACAGGACGGGGGAAACTGCCCCCATGATTCAATTATCTCCACCTGGTCCCTCCCATGACACATGGGGATTATGGGAACTACAATTCAAGATGAGAGTTGGGTGGAGACACAGCCAAACCATATCAGGAACCTAGACTAATGGAGCAGCCACCATCCACTTTAAATATCACTAATAGGTGTGCTAGAGGAGAAAAGAGTGAGACAAATCTTGCATAGGTGTTTTAAAGCTTCTACAACTTATAATTCATAGGTAAGGCAGGTCACAGGACCACATATAACTTCAAAGGGGTGAGGAAGTATAATTAACCATGTGCCTAAAAGGTGAGAGAACCAGAAATATTTAGTGAATATAACTAATGACCATTACAATATCATTATTTTTATTTCCCAGACAATAAAACTTACAGAAGTAAATGGAATTGCCTAGGATTACGAGAAAGTAAATGGTGTCATAGGGCTTAGCCCCAGGTCTATTTAGTCTAAAGACAATGTTTTTAGCCACTAGGGTATATGGAAACTCATTCTTATGAGTCCCATGTTTAGGCTAGGAACTTGAATTAGTAGGTGCTTTAAATATATATTTTGATCAGCTTCAAAAACATCCAGTCAGGTTGGATGGAAAGACCTGTTCTGACTTTCTTCTAAGACACAAGTAAAGACAAGCCTGGTTTTTATTCAATTCCATGAGTAAATTATTCACAATAAAGAAGAAAGCTTGATCATTGTCTTCTTCTCCTTTGTTTTCTTGTCCTTTCCCTCCGCCTTCCCTCATTTTTCCTCCTTCTCCTCCATTTCTTCTTCCTCCTCCACTTCCTCCTTCTCCTTCCCCTTCTCCTCCTCCTCCTGCTTCTCCTCCTTCTGCTCTTTCTCCTTCTTCTCATTCTTGTTCTCTTTCTCCTTCTTCTCTTTCTCCTTCTCCTCCTCCTGCTTCTCTTCCTTCTCCTTCTGCTTCTCATTCTTGCTCTCCTTCTCCTTCTTCTATCTCCTTCTCCTTCTCCTTCTCCTCCTTCTCTTTCTCCTCCTTCTCCTTCTCCTCTTTCTCCTTCTCCTTCTTATAACATTAATACTAGGAAGGTCCAGTGCATCTGTGATCTGGAAGACCCTGACAGATCATGTATTGAGAACAGATGCATTAGAGTTCAATTGTTGCAATTTGGTGTGCCAAACTTAAATATTTCCTCTTGTGAGAGCTCAGAGATGCACCATATTGGTGCTGGGAAAATTGGATAGACTCAGGCAGAAGAATGAAACTGCACCCCCATCTCTCACTATATACAAAAATCAACTCTTAAAGGATTAAATATTTAAAGGTAAGACCTGAAACTATAAAAATACTAAAAGCAAATCTAGGGAAAACTCTCCTGGATATTGGTCTAAGCAAAGAATTTATGAATAAGACCTCAAAAGCACAGGAAGCAAAAAACAGGAATAGACAAATCAGATTTAATTAAACAACAAAGTTTCTACACAGCAAAAGAAATAATCAACAGAATGAACAGATAACCTATTGAATGGGAGAAAATATTTGCAAAGTATTTATCCAACAGGAGAACTAATATCCAGAATATGCAAGGAACTCAAAAGGAAAACAGGAAAAAAAACTAATAATCTCATTAAAAAGTAGGCAAAGAATATGATTAGACATTCCTAAAAAGAAGACACACAAATGCCCAACAAGTATCTGAAAAAATTCTGAACACCACTAATCATCAAGGTAATGCAAATAAAAACCACAATGAGCCATCATCTTTCCCCAGTCAGAATGGCTATTATTAAAAAGACAAAAAATAACAGATGCTGGTGAAGATGTAAAGAAAAGGGAACTCTTATACACTGTTGGTGGAAATGTAAACTACTACAGTCACTATGGAAAACAATATAAAGATTTCTCCCAAAAGATGAAAACAGAACTACCATTCCATCCAACTGGGTATCTACCCAAAGGAAAACCAAAGTACCATTCCATCCTACTGCGTATATCTACGCAAAGAAAAATAAATCAATATATCAAAGGGATACATGAATTCACATGTTTATTGCAGCACTGCTCATAATACAAAGATATGGAATCAACCTAAGTCTCTATCAGTGGATGAATAGATAAAGAAAGTCTGCTACATATACACAATGGAATACTACTCAGCCATAAAAAGAATGAAATCCTGTCATTTGCAGCAACATGAATAGAACTGGAGGTCATTCTCTTAAGTGAAATAAGACAGGCATAAAAAGACTAATATTATATGTTCTCGTCTATATGTGGGAATTTAGAAACTTTTTACACATTGAGGTACAGAGTGGAAAAACTGATAACAGACTGGGAAGAGTAAGTGAAGAAAAGAGGGGAGGATTAAGAGAAGTAGGTTAAACGGTGCAAACACACAGTAAGATGGAAGGAATAAGTTCAATGTTTGATAGCAGAGTAGGATGACTATAGTTTAAAAAATGTATTGTACTCAGGTGATGGACATTTATACTCTGACTTGAGTACTATACATTATATACAAATTATATATATGTAAAAATTTCTCATGTACCCCACACACTTTTACAAATAAGAAAAAAGAAAGCAAAAAAGAGAGAAAGAAATGCATCATCTTAATTCACCCCTTCAAGCCCAAGCCTGAGAGGGAGAGAGCAAAGCAGTCTGCTTATCTAGAGCGGCAGAGGGAGAACATCTTTAGTTTCTGGTTCATCTCTTTGATTTTGTAAGGAGAGAATTGGACTGATAATCCAGCATCAGAGGTTCCAATGCTGTTTTCTATCAATAATAATTAAGCACATTGCTAACATTTTTGGACCTCTTTTCAGGATGAGAAAATCAAAAAGTTCCTCCCAGATATAATGTTTTATGATTACAAGTTTAATAAAATAATATTCCACTGCTATTCTTTTCTAAAACAAAGAGGGCCCTTATTTTACCTGGAGTCCCCTGATTCCTGGGTACAAAATCTTAATGGTGAGGGAGGGGTGATCACTCATGTTGTTTTTTTGCTTATGTAGATTTTTCTTTTCCCTGGATTCATTTTCTCCCTAATTAGGGAATAGTCACTTTATAGCATTCCCCAAGGGAATAAGACCTGGTATGCTTTACCATCTGTCACAATTCTGATAGTCAGAAAATAACCACTTGCTAAAGACATAAATGATGGAATTAAGTAAGTTTATGTCCTCTACAGTATAAGGCCCTGTGAAAATCTTAAGTAGCATAGGAGACACACCATTGTCCAGGAGGGGTTTTAGATCTGCTTAGAGGAGCAAACCAACACACATGACACTGAGGACAAAACACAAGAGCGTATAGGTAGGGACAGTGAACTAGGACCTGGAATATATCTGGTGCTGGTTTCCTCTGGCAATTGTATCACATGGTGGGGTCTATTTCATCTGCAAAGGGGTCTGATAAAGATGAACTCATGTGAAGTTCTAACTCACATTTTACTATGATGACTCTACCCTCCCATGGGCCCTCAGCGATGCCGAGAAATTCTACTGCTTTTCCCTCATCCTTGCATGGTCTAATTCTTCTAGAGGACTTATGTATTCTCTTGCTCCTCCAATACCTCTTTTTTCATCTTCAGTTTTGGCTGATGACCTCAGTTTCTATTTCATGGACAAAACAGTAGTAATGAGAAGAAAACTTCTGCCAGCTACCCCAACCATATGTGCAACATCAGTATCCATGCATTCCCCTTTCCCTCCTTGTCCAATAGCTGAGTTCTCCATGCTTCCAAGACCAGCACCTCCCCTGTGCTCCAGATTTCATTGTCTGTCACCTACTTAAGTACATCACTTCATGGATATGTTTCACTCCCCCACTTCTCTCCTGAATCTTCAGCTCTTTCCTCTCTCAACTAGATTATTTCCTGAGCTCACAAACGTACTGTATGTTTATTTAAGATGAGATACGTGTGTGTATCTGTTCATATAGTTCAACTACTTTACCATTTCTCTACCCACTCTATAGCAAATCTCCTTGAGAGTTATTCCAACTCTCAGACAGAAAACCTGTCTCTAATTTATCTCCAATTCAGCGTTCGACCCATTTCTATGAGGATTTCATCGCTTCTAATTCCACTGAATGGGCTCTTGTCAAAATCACTAATGAATTCCATGTTCCTAAATTCAATAATTAATTATCAGACCTCATTTTACTTAACCTATCAGGAGCATTTGACATCTTGTATGATCACATGCTCCTTGTTAAAATCTTCTTTTCACTTGGCTTCCGGGATCTGACATCCTCTTGGTTCTCCTTTCATATAACTGAACATTTCCTTTCTGTCTTCTTTATTTCTTTCTCTGCATCTCTCTGACAGCCATATATTGGAAATATCTCAGAGCTCAGTGCTTGGACATTGTTCCTTCTCTTTGTACAACCATCCAACCTCATGGAGATAGATAGATAGATGGCATATATATTGGATTTGTCAATTTATAGATTACATATATGACATATAAATAGATATGCCATCTATAAATTGACAAATCCACTACATATATGCCATCTATAAATAAATAAATATTCTATGTATATATGTGACATCCATAAATTGACAAATCCAAGGTTTATATCTCTGACTAAACATATCACGTGAATGCTACAGTTTTATATGTGCTGTCTTCTGGATATCATTGTTTGGATATCTAAAAGGTGTTCAAAAATGACTTCCCAGACCCTCTTCCAATTTAATCCTTCTATAGTGTCAGTAAATGGTAACCTCATATCTCATGTTGCTCAGGCCAAAAGCCTTGGAATTATCCTGGGATACCCTCTTTTTCTATACCCCACACTTGAACAAATCTTGTCATTGCCACCATCAGAATATAATCATAATCCTACTATTTTTAATCCCACTGCCCTGTTGTAAGTTACCATCACTGTTTATTACTTGGCTTATTATAATAGCTGCCACAATTCCTCCTTTCTGCCCATTAGTCTATTTTCAACACAGTAGTAAGAGTAAATCTATGAAAACATAAAATACGTTACGTGTGTCTCAGCTCAAAACCCTCTGTTTTATTTTTAATGAACTCAGAATAAATGCCAAAGTTCGTCCCTTCGTGTTCTACTTTCACAATCCTTTTCTGACCTCCCACACAACAGCTTCACTTCTATTGCTCAAACACCGGAAGAAGGCCCCACCTTGGGGCCTTTGCAATTCTCTTCAGCCTGCATTTGCCCTCTTTAGAGAGCTGAATGGCTTAATCTCTCACCCTTCTCAGAGATATTGAAATGCCACCTTATTGAGAACTTCCATTACCTCCATTTGTGAATAATGCACCCTTCCCTTTTCATCCTTATTTATAGTTTGCTGTATGTTTATATGTTTACTACCCGCATGTTCCAACAGAATGAAAGTTCTTTGAAGGCAGGGGCTTTGTTTTCCTTATGGCTAACAATCTCAGTGCCTACAAAAGTGCCTGAGAGCCAGGGGAAACTTAAAAATGTATGTTAAATTAATGAAAGAAAAAATAAATGAAGGAATTTAACTGAGAAGGGGCACTGAACCCTGATAACTACACATTTTTACAGTGTTTTATATGGGTCAGAGAGAAGAGAACAAAACACAGAGACTAGAAATGGAAGGTTTCCTTTAATTTCCCAGCCCCCTCTCTTTATCCTACCCCTTATTTCCTGCCTTTAGTGATATATTTTTACAACTTTTGTTTCAACCATAACTCAAAGAGCCTTTTTTTCTCCTATTTGTAGAGTGAGAAAGCATAAGGAGAAATGAGGCCAATCTGTTCCCAGATATACCCAGGAGACCACATAGTACCAATGTTCTAACAAGGTGGTAGAGCCAAAGAATGCTCTCTTTAACAGAGAAATAGCACAGAACACAATTTTGTGGAGGAGAATTAATAACACAAGTCAATCAATCTACCTCTGAATGAACCTGTAATGCCTTACAGACTTGGCTATTATTCACAGATCCACCCATGACCAACACAGTTTCCAGGGAATATAAATCTGAGGCTGTCATTCAACTTAACAAGCAATGATAGGTTCTTGCATGCAGTAGAAATTTAGCGTTGGATTCCACGGTGGAGGGATGACTGGGCAGGAGAGGTCACTAAACAGATGAGATTCTCATTGCTGTTGCTGAGTAACAGGAAGGTGTGTCAGCCAGGAAAGTAAGACTCTTCGATGGAAGGCCTCACACATCTGACAAGGGTACTTGGCTTGATTCCATAAGCAGTAAACAAGGAGTCACTGTCTTTTCTTAGCTGGGATAGAGGTGGGGAGGTGGTGAAAGCATTGTTTAGAGTGATTGAGAAACTCATCTGTAAACCATATTAGAGTGTAGTCTTTGAACAACCTGCAGCACCACACTAGGATGTACGCTTTTATTGGTCTGGAGTGGACCCAGTAATCTACATTTTAATCAGAATCTCTGTGGGGGTCTGACAATTTGCATTTTTTAAGCCCACCAAGTCAATCTGATGTATGGTATATGTTAAATCAATTTGTTTTTCAAACTGGGTTGCAACCCACTAGGGAGCTAAAAATGAATTTAGTGAAATGCATCGGGCAACGCAAACGAGTGTATACTGTATGATTCCATTTATATACAGTCCATAAATATGCACAACTAATCTATGATAGAAGAAATCAGAATAGTAGTTATCTGGGTAGGGGAGAGGGCTGACTGAAAAGGGTACAGAAACCTTTTGGAGTGTTGGGAATGTTCCATGTATTGTTTGGGTGACGGCAACATAAGTGTATACATTCTCTTCTGCCTGCATTTGCATTCGTTAGAGAATTGGATGGCTCAATCTCTCACCACTTTCAGATCTGTTGAAATGTCATCGTATTGAGGATAAGTTCCATTACCCCCATTTGTGAATAATGCACCTTCTCTTTTCACCTTGATTTGTAGTCTGTTTTTCTGTATATTTATGGTTTACTATCTGCATGTTCTGCTAGAATGTAAGTTCCTTGAAGTCAGGGGATTTGTTTTACTTATGGCTAACAATCTCGGTGCCTACAAAAAAGTGCCTGAGAGCCAGGAGAAACTTAAAAATGTGTGTTAAAACTGATCCAACTGTACACTGAAAATCTATGTACTTTGCTGTGCATAAATTATTCCTCCATAATAGCAAAAGTAGGGAAATGTCAGGACATAACCTGATTTAAGGGTATGGGGAGTGTGTGTGTGTGTGTGTGTGTGTGTGTGTGTGTGTGTTTGTGTGTGTGTGTGTGTGTGTGTGTCTGTGTGTCTGTGTCTACTGGGTCAAGATTACCCAACATGATGGTAAGTATTGCTTATGGGTGTGTGTTTATGTGTGTTTTGGAGCACTGCTCTAGAGGGATATAGTCCAGGAACTAAGGGGCCATTTAATTTATTCTGCCTCCCTCTTGCTTTCTATGGATTGATACTTTGATTTCCTGCTATCAATATTCCTAGTATTTTTTTTCCTGCTTATAAGGTCACTTGAGTTTCTTGGCCATTTTTTTTTTCTTCAAACAACTCCAATTGATCCTAGCTTCTACAAATGTTCATGATGACATACTATTTTGTGTTTTTGATGGATGTGTAGTAAGACTCAGCTATGGAAAGGTTGATCATATTTGTTCAATAGGACAATTGACTGCTTCTGAATGCTTTGCTAAAATGGGTGATAGGTTTACAGAAGATCTGTGGTTATCTCCAATAAACACTGTATTTTCAAGGCAATTAATACACTGCCTATTCAAAGGGAGATGTTCAGAGGTTGTTCAATTCCTGTATGTAGAACTGGAAGAGGAAACACATGGCAACACTGGTAAGCTGAAGAATCAGGCAAAGCCCTTTATGCTTACGCTTGTTTTCTGGCTAACAGAAGCATCTTAAAAACTGTCTTTGCTGTAAATCATCATAAAATCTACCATGTTCAAATTTATTTTGCTAGGGGAGTGGACAGTAAGTACACTATTGTGAACAAAATGGAGTTTTACTCTGACAGTTCTGGATATTGCTGATTTTCTTTTTTTTAAAGTAAATTTTACTGTGTACATTTGAGGTTTACAGTATGTGTTATGGAATACATGTAGGTAGTAAAATAGTTACAACAGTAAAGCAAATTATGCATCTATCATCTCATATAGTTACTTTTTTGTGATAACAATAGCTAAAATCTACTTGACAAAAAACCCTAAGACAATACAATTTTATTAACTATAGTCCATATGTTGTACATTTAGATCTCTAGACTTGTTTATGCCATGTAACTACAACTTTGTATCCTTCGACCTACTAAATATTGTTGATTTTCAAAGTGAATATTCTTTTCGTACAATGAGAATTAAAGATGTTAAAGATGTATCACTCTGGGTAGAAATATTTACTATTTATTCAGGTTTAAAAAAGAGAGTCAAATTGAATTGGAATGAGCTGTGCTGATTATCCAACTTATAGGACTAAGGACTGCTGACTGGTCAGAGCCTTCCTTTCTTCTGCCTTGAAACATTTCTGGGTATATGTCACCTCTAACTTCATATGTTTCCAGGGCAATCTTTTGATCTTCTTTCCCATGAAGTCTAACGTTAACGCTGTGCATAATTTGTATTCTATTTGCTGTGGAGGATTTATATAACACTGGCCCAGTCTTATTTTCATATGGGGATGCTAGTATATAATCCAGTTGAATCTGAAAGGTTTAAACGTTTTAGTGTACACAAGAAAGTCATAGAACTATTGGAGGCATATATTGGTAGGAAAAATAGACAAAGTCTGTCTTTTCTGTCTTTCCTGTTAATGTGAGATATGGGATGCTATTGTGATAAGAGTGGGTGGGACATAGGTGAGAGTGGCTGATTAGAGAACTGAAAGATTACAGAAAAATCCCTTCATGGAAGGAATAATGAGACACCTCATACCCTTGAGCTGGACTAAGCCATTATGTTGCCTTTTCCCATGGTGCTGGCAGGCACCATAAGATCAACAGATTTTCATAAGACATTACAAGAAAAACTGGCTTCTTTTATATTTTTATTTCCCTGAAATCCCAAGGAGTTCATAGTTAAAATTAGAAGTCTATACAAGAAATATACCTATATGGAAGTCTATATGAGACATATACCTGTATAGAAGTCTGTACAGGAAATATACCCCACTCACAGAGGTCTGAGGTCTATTATTTTTAACCCAATTCTCAATGTGCACATTTTGTTTCCTTTGCTTATATCACCTCAAAGTGGAGGTACAAAAACAATAACAGCACACCCCACCCCAAATTAATTAAAATAGCTAAGCAATTGTCTTCTAGTTATTTAAATTTTAGCAAATGATTTTCTTTCTCTGTAGAAGTGTTAGCACAGAAACACCAAGGCTTTGAAAACTAATAAGAACACATTAAGACTTTCAACTTACACCAAAGGAATATCAAATTGCAGAAGAAGGTAGCATCAAGTCTTATGGCAGTGTCTATAATAAGGAGGTGTATACCATTGATGAAACAGACTGACCTATTTGAATTCTTGGTTGCAAGCAAGAGAAGACAACTTTGGTTGTCTAAGCAATAAAATTGCTGAGATACTATAGAATGTTGGGAGCCTGAAAGGCCAAGCTTTAAAAAGAGGTAGAATAAAGAAATAATACAGTTCTGGATGAATACTCTGGCCTGAAAATGATGCATAACATGCTAGATGCATTGGACATAACCACTGCAAAACCTGCTAGACATTGCCTCTACTTCTAGATACTTCCTTCGGGCATGTACCTAACTGCCACTATCAATCACCAACCCCCTCATTCCAGATTTGAATTACTGGGGAGGAAGATGACTATTTACTCTTAGTTCATGAGCTTAGATTCTAGCTGCAAGGGAAGAGGAAGTGATTGTCCACATTTCACTTTTACACTGAGATGTAGAATAATATGCTCTATCTCCCACTCCCTTTCCCTAAATTAGGCACATGGGAAAATTATTCCTCAAAGAAAAACAGAGTTTATTATTATGCAGGAAGAAAATAAAGATAAATTACCAGTACAATGTGTCTAGTAACTGGGAATTTTTAAGTAGAAGTATGAGCAAATACTGTGTATAGTGTCATATTGAGAAAGAAGCTACAAGCCCCTGATCTAATTCTAGGTTTCTATGAGATATGCGAACTTTGATGCCTTTCCAGTATAATTGCTAAGTTATAAGAGAGAAAGTTGGGTGGGTGTGTGTTCTCTATTAGGATGCCTCATGCTGCTTTGTATAATAACTGCTTGAATACAGTCCCACCCCCACCCATTAAGATCTGGTTCTTAATTACAGCACTGTAGGTTTGGCATCTAACCACTAGAGGTCATTCTTTTACATGTGTCATTCAAAATCATGTTAGAGGAGAGACCTGATTATGAGGCAACCTTAGAAGTTTGTTTTCTTTCCAGAAGTTTTAACTATTGCTACACATTGTACTGGGTGTACCTGTGGTTCCCGGGGCTAGGTACAGAATTAATTGTTATGGGATTTGTGCTGCTGTTGAAAAATAAATAAAGGGCTGGTGAGCAAAACTGGCAATCATTTCTACATTCTGTGTAACTTAATTTTCAGCACAGAATTCCTTTCACTTTAAGACCCTTCCGCTGCTCTGTCCAATGTGCATGCGTGCACATGCGCACACACACATATACACACAGGGCATTTCAAAAGTCAAGTGAGGTCCAGGCTAGTTACAATGTTATGGTTACATTAAAACACGGGGAAATAAAGACAGAATGAAGACTACAATGTATTAGACTTAAAACTAATCATATAAAGTATCCCACAAGTTAACATGAAAATGAAATGATTCTGCATGTAATCCCCTTTGGACATGGTGGTAAATAATGTCTACATTTAAGTCTCTTTGTCCAAATAGGGTCAGACACTTGTGGCTCAGCAGCATAGCCCAGCTGCCTAGAATGGGTGGGCCTGTGTGCTTGCACCCTGGTACCTATGTGTACCACCTGCACACATCCGCTCTAGTGCACCAGACTTCATCTCAAGCCTTGAAGGAACTGGCATTTGGCCAACTCCTTTGTAAGGATAAATAAGAGTTAATATAGTCTTCATTTTATAGTGAAAGTTACTTTCTGCCCTTGATAAACATGATCAACAAACATAGTGATTCTATAGCCAGTGGAGTCAGTTAAATACATCGTGGGAGGGAAGAAGCTTCATCTGGTACTATCAAACTCCCTGAATTCCATTTCAGCTTCTCCACATGCCCATTTTTTTTTTTTGAGTCAGTTCACAAGTTTAATTGTGGAATGCTTCACTTGGTTTGATCATGGGGGGAGAATCTATCTGAAGAGTAAAAGGTCCTGATGTTGACAATCTGGGCCACAGACCATCAGCATCTTGTGTCTGAAGAATAAAGCCCCAATCTGATCTCTTGCATTCATTGGGACGGCCATGCTGCACTGCTGTTGTAATTCTTCCCTTGATCTTTTCCATGACACTCAGCATTTAATCCTCTATTCTTCCTTTTCTTTCCTTTCAACATTCTTATTCTTCCCCATCCATTAGTCTTTCTGCTGAGAGAGAAGAGCTTCACAGTCCCTCCCCTATCTCCATCTTATCATGGTATTGTCGGGGACAAAGACAGAGTGGTTAACGCCCAGCAACATTTAAGAGCACAAGGAGAGACTCTTCTGAGCATTTAAATAGGCTCAATTTTCCCAGAACTGCAGAGAAAAGAAATAAAAGATAGTACACAGAGTTCCTGCCTTTTTCTTATTGCTGCCATGGGGATAAAGATCAAAGTCTTTATCTGTGATTATCCATCAGACAAATGCAATAAAATGTCCAATTTGCAGTCAAGGCTAACTCTGTACTGTCTTTCAAAACAAATTCATCTCCTAATCTTCTTGAAAATCTTCCCCCCAAAGCCCATGGGACCTGTGAGAAAGCATCCCTGCCACCAGCAGCTCCGGAATCTATAGATTGTTATTAAATAATGGGTTCCCTCAGGGCAAGGACCTGCCCCTGCCCTAGGCATGCACAGAAACTTAATAAATGGATCAGGAGCATAGGCATTTATGGAATCCACAGGGTGTGCTGGCATGGACTGTTGTGGAAAGAAGGTCTCGACAGCCAACCAACATGCTATGCTCCCTTTAGGATCTTGCTCTAAAGTTGGGGCTCAGGGATAGGGTGGGTCATAGACATATAAATCAATTAGTCAACAATGCAGGAGGCTGGGTGTGGTGGCTCATATCCGTAAGCTCAGCACTTTGGGAGGCCGAGGTGGGCAGATCATTTGAGGTCAGGAGTTCAAGACCAGCCTGACCAACATGGTAAAACCCCATCACAACTAAAAATACAAAAATTAGCCAGGCATGGTGGCGAACACCTGTAGTCCCAGCTACTGGGGAGGCTGAGGCAGGAGAATCGTTTGAACCCAGGAAGCAGAGGTTGCAGTGAGCCGAGATTGCACCATTGCACTCCAGCCTGGGCAACAGAGCGAGACTCCCTCTCAAAAGAAAAAAAATAAATAAAAATAACAATGCAGGGTTAAATAAGGGAGAGTGATGTGTAGGAATGAGACTGTGTCTGAATTATTCAGCTTGGATCCAAGGGCCATAACCTCCCTTCCTTTACAGCGTGCAGTGCAAATGGTTTCACTTATGTGAACAGCCTTCGGAGTAAACATGGGAAATTGCTTGGTGCCCACAGAAGATGATGGGCTACAGGGTAAAGAAGAAAAGACAATGTTCCCCAACATCGTGTGTTAATAAGAAGTAAAAGGTTTGCTGTATATCTGAGAAGGCACAGGAAAAGGAAAGGTTAGAGGCTGTTTTTTTTGCCACATCCTCTCCAGCACCTGTTGAGGCACATATACACCATGGAATACTATGCAGCCATAAAAAAGGATGAGTTCATGTCCTTTGTAGGGACATGGATGAAGCTGGAAACCATCATTCTCGGCAAACTATCACAAGGACAAAAAACCAAACACCACATGTTCTCACTCATAGGTGGGAATTGAACAATGAGAACACTTGGACACAGGAAGGGGAACACCACACCGGGGCCTGTTGTGGGGTTGCGGGAGGGGGGAGGGATAGCATTAGGAGATATACCTAATGTAAATGACGAGTTAATGGGTGCAGCACACCAACATGGCACATGTATACATATGTAACAAACCTGCACGTTGTGCACATGTACCCTAGAACTTAAAGTATAATAATAAATAAAAGTGATAGCAAATAAAAAAATAAAATTTTTTTTTTCAACAGGAATCTTTATTTTCTCTTTATTTACAGTACTCCCTTCAATCCTTTTACATGTCTCTCCTCATTGATTGTAGTGTGTGGGAGCTCCTTGTGTGATGATTGAGCCTGGAGAGAACCTGACATCTGTGAAGCTTTATTAGAGTGGCAGGCAGAGAGAGCCACTATCTGATACCAAGACAATGGGGTCATCTTCCTCCTGGTCCCCTTGTTCTTTTTTTTCCTCTTGGGTTCTTGGGTATCCTACTCTTAGAAAGAGATAGTTTGCCTTACTCCATGTGATAAGCAAATCCAACAGAGTTTGCTTCTGGGGATCCAGGAGGTCATTGCTGTCTTAGTTCCAAATTCTCTGCCTGCCATTCTTGGCTTAAGTCTGGGCTTACTCAAGTTTAGATTAAGGAGGCAAGTGGGAGGACTTGCTGAGTTCTCTGGCCAGCTTTGCCAGGAAGTTAATCCCCATTAGACTCTTCCTTTCTTTTCCCAAGTGGTCACAACACAGCAGGGAGCAGTGGGTGATTTAACTGTGTTTCCACCTCAATGAATCTCTATTGAGATCATAACATGCTTATGCCTGGGACAAAGGCCCAAAGGAAAATTCTTGTCTAGGTTTCATCATTTTCCAAATAAAGAGAGTGAAGTCGATCAATTTTTATTGTAGTAGATTTTGTTATATATATAACAAAATCTCTCATTTAAACTATTTTAAGTGTACAGTTCAGTGACATTACATGCATTCACAATGTTGTGCAACTATCACCGCCATCCATCCTCAGAATGTGTTTATCTTCTGAAACTCTGACCCATTACACAAGCACTCTCCATTTCCTCCTTCCCTCAGCCCTTGGTGGTCACCGTTCTATTTTCTGTCTCTATGAATTTGGCTACTCTAGGTACCATATAAGTGGAATTAAACATTATTTATTCTTTCGTGACTGACTTATTTCGCTTACTGTAATGGCTTGAAGTTTCTCCCATGTTGTAGCATGTGTCAGAATTTCCTTCCTTTTCAAGGCTGAATAATATATACTGATATATATACATATGTATGTATGTATTCATATATCAGTATATATGCAATATATGTATGTATTTATATATCAGTATATATACACACACATACATGTATGTATATGCACACACATACATGTATGTATGTATATACACACACATAATATATAAACACACACATACATACCAACTTATATCAACTCATGCATCAAGGAAAGTGAATGTCAGTCTTTAATGCTAACATTTCCTATTTGTCTGGAGTTCTGTTTATGCCTTTTGTCTCAGCATCATTGTTAACAGCATCACCTCCCACTCTTAAAGTGTTACATTTTGGACAATATATTATATGACAATCCCTTGAAGACAACTCTTCTAGGACCCCTATTCTTTGTAACTGACCTCATGTCCAGTGAAAGCTTAAAGTTTTTCTTCAAACATTCTTATTCACTAAACCTTGCACCAACTAAGCATACATCATTTAAGTGCAAGCAGGGCATGTCAGTGGTGATATTTTCCTGAATGAAGGAAGCAGAGATGATCTTCAGGCAGCTGGATGAATATCTTATAGATATTGCAGTTTATGAAAAAAGACTTCTTTAGGCCTGGTCAAATAGGAGAGCATACCTCACAAGTTTTAGAAGTTGCCAGAAAAGGTACCTGTCAGAAGTGCCTCTAATAGCTGGGAGAAAAGAATGGCAAACTATACAGGGAATGTGCACATGTCTTTCTTCCATGCTATTCTGAAACATCTCCTAAAAGCTGTTAAGGGAAAACGGGTGTCATTTTTGATTCACAGGGACTTTCCCAAATATAATTTGCATCTTTTGTTCACTCCATAAATAAGGGAGGCCATCTGATCATATAGCTGCAGGAAGGTTATTTCAGTGTAACAGATGAGACATGATATATGAGACGTCTAATAGCTGGAGAGACCCAGCATGAGCTGCTGGGATCTTCAGGTTGAAGACCCAGGTTAGAGTCCTCACTGCCACTGGGCATCCTCCCTAAGATTAAAGCTCTGTGTGAAAGGAGAGCTTGTCTAGATTGTTTGCTGCTGTTACCATCTTCACATAAGCAGTGACTTGTCCACGGTAGATGCTCTAATAAATATCAGCGTAATGAATGAGTGAATAACCAACTTTGGGTTCACCACTTAGTTATTCAAAAATCCAGTTGCTTCATCTGTAAAATAAAACCCAGAGAATGAGGCACTGTCACCTTCTTTGCCATTATTTTAGGATTACATAATCCTATTATATATTATATATATTTTGTAAATAAAATATATAATTTATATAATGTATAAGATATAAAATAATATATATTCTAGGATTAAATAATCCTATTATGTATATACATATAATCTTATATGTGTATTATATAATCCTATTATGTATATACATATATAATATATATTATATATAATATAGTATATATAATCCTATATATATATTATATAATCCTATTATATATGTATTTACATATAATCCTGTATAATTCTATTATATATAATAATAATCCCATTATATAATCTTAAAATAATAACAGAGAAGTTGACATTGCTCCATTATCTGGGTTTCATTTTACAGATGAACCAACTGGATTTTTGAGTTTGTCTTCATACGAAGTGTCATTTGACCTTTCCCTATGAGAAGTCTGGAGCAAGGTGAATTGAGACAAGAACTTTCTATATCTTCAATAAAGTTTTATAATTTAAAAAATGCTGGGTAAAAAAATTATCATAATCTAACCATTGTTAAATTTTAATGACTTCTGCTGGATTGTTTCCTCTTATCATTTTAGAACAAAACCACAATTACAGCAACAATCTGTAATACACTTAATTTAAAGAGTCCAATATTTTTACAAATTCTGGCAGGACTGCTAACCATTCACCAAAATTTGTGTCCTCCTATTTTTCCTAGATACACAGCTAGGCTACATTTCCCAGCCTCTGTGGCTGTTAGGAGCAACCCTATGACCGAGTTCTGTCAAGGCAACTGGAGCAGATGTGGTGTGACTTTCTCAGCCCCACCCTTGACAATTCCCCATGCTCTTTGTTCACCTGACAGACTTGGACAGTGATAAACACAGTGACCCCAGATATGAAGTTGAAGGCAGAGTTTCTTCTTCCTTGTTGAGCACATGAAAGACAGCCATATCCACGTAGAGAAACAATCACCTTGGGCTGTTAAATGAGTGAGAAATAAACTTGCATTGTGTTTGAGTCCATGATAAACATGGGGGTTTGTTTGTTATAGCAATTAGTGTTACCCTGACAATAATACACAATCTTACAGCTGTAGTACTCTCTTGCCACCTCCATTATCTGCTTCCCAGAGGCAAATATTTTCCCTGTAAATTGCTTACTTTGGTATTTACATCAAAAATCTCTAAATAACAAGCCTACATTACTAGTTCTATTTTTTTTTCAGTTTAAAACATTCTCTCTTGACTTCTCCATATGGAAGATGAGAATATAGCTTTCTTTTACAACCATCCTACCTTACATAATGATACTATATGATTGTTCAGGTCAATATATTTATTATTTAATTCATTTTTACTCTCTTAAGATTGTTCATAGCTGAGACATGTGGTATATAACATAGTTAGTTTTCCTTCCCTGTACAAGAGTTTGTTCTATCTGGAATTGATAATTTACTTAATCTTCCTCCTCATCCTCTTCATTCTTCTCTCTCTTCTTACTTTCCTAGTTTTCTAAGTATTTATCATGAGCCCAGCTCCCAAATCTTCACCAGCTGGGTAAATCTTCTCTCAATACCATCAAACTAAATTTTTTATCCATTTCATCTTTTTTTTTTTTTTTAAATCTCCCTTTCAACCACCTCTAATCTGGAAAGTAGCTCTCTAACCCTGCTGAATAACTGCTATTGTGCAAACTCTTTTAATATCATCATAAGGATATTCCTGCCTGTCTCTTTTGCTGACTCCCCTATTTCTCATATCCTGTTTTGTCTTCTTTCTTGGTTTTCTCCCTCATATTGATACGACTCACTTTCCAATAGCTTCCTGAGATAGAATGCATACACAAGCATTTTTTTTTTTTTTTGGTGTAACTGAAAATATCTTGACAATCTGGCATACCTAAAACATACAATTCTGTGTTGAAAAATATTTCCTCAGAGTTGCGAAGATATTTCTCTCTAGTGTTCCAGCTTCTGGAGTTGCTATTATGCAGAGAAATCCTAAGCAACTATGATTTCTAATTTTTCATGTGAATTTTTTCTTTTTACCTGGAAGCTTCTAGAACTTTCTTTTTATCAACCATGTCTTTAAATTTGCAGTAATGCACTTTGGTGTTGCTTTTATCCAACATACTGGCCACCTAATGGACCCAGTCCGTATAATCAAGTCCTCTAGTTCTGAAAAGAAGATTGAATTATATCTTTGATGGTACCATCCACCCCCATTTTCTCCTTTCTCTTTATTCTGGGCCATTCATTATTCAAACAGTGCATCTCCTGAATTGGTCCTTTAATTTTTCAAGGTTTTTTTTTCTTTTTTTTTTTTAATCTTCTTTTCTTCATCACGTATCCTTCGTTCTTTCTCTGAAAGATTTCTTTAACTTTGTTATAAATGTTTTATTATTTTAACTTATTTTTCTATCACCAAGAACTCATTTATATTCCTTGCATATTCTTTAATGTGGCACTCTGTTCTTTTCTTGTGGATGCTATGTAATTATATTTCTAAGAATATTAATGATAGAAACTGTTCAGCTTATAAACTAAAGATACTACAGTTGAGAAGTTCTGTGTTTGTTTTCTGTCTTTGTTTTCCATATCCAATGCCTGCTTCTAATGTCTAGTCATCCCTGTTTTTGCTTATATTAAAGAGTGAGAAACAAAGTGTTGATTAGAAACTCTATGCATTCAGTTGGAATTTTGGGTGATGGTCGTATCTCTAACATTATCTGGATGGGCTGTTTCTTTGGGGAATCATTAATGTCAGCAGTTTTAGGTCTTTTAGGTTCAGTTGGTCAGATAATCTTAGAGGAGAACTGCTTCTAACTCCTACTGGAAGTGTACAAGCTGGCTGCCAGCTTTTTGGGAGACATGTAGGAGAAGACTAGAATAGGAGAATTCAATATTCCCTGTGAAACTTACATTTAACTCTCTCTCTATATATTTATTTTTTAGATATGGATTTCTCCCATTAAATATTTCTGGAATCCCCAGTATAGACTCTATTTCACTCTCCTCAGAGAATAAACTCTTAGTCATCAATCCAGGTTGAGGAGGGTCAGCATGTGACTGTGTAGAGTCAGGGAGCATATCTGGGAGTCTTGTCCCTCCTCAGAAAGATCTTCAAACAACCTGCTTAGGCCCATGTTAAACCCACTTCCAAGATACCTGTTTTTCTCAAATCCTACACCTTTTAGGGATTCACCTTCATACATGAGGTTTCTTCCTGGCCTTCTTACTTCAAGCACAGAATTAAATTTTGTGGTCATGCTAAGTCAGTTTTCACTTTTCCATTTGCTTTTAGCTTCCAAAATCTTGTTTATGTCTCACCTCCCATTATTTCATTCCTTTGTGTTTTATGCCTTACACATTTTTGTCATTTTTGTGGGGCTTGAGGAATGTACTACATCTATATCTATAAATCTATATAGATACACAGTCTGATCAAATATACATGCCATCTTAAACTATAAGGTAGATGCAACTTAATTTTCATTAATACATTAAATCATAGACTTCTAATGCAGTAAGATTTTATTGAATGATATGAACTCTATGCTATCACCCAGTCCAGAAAACTCTTCTTCCTTATTGAGTACTATCAGTACTTCTTCCTGAAAGAGTACTTCCTGACAAGTACCTATCAAGTACTTGGAGTACAACAATGAATCATCCAAAGTGGTAGAGAATTCAAATAAGTAAATATTAAAAGAATATTAAAAGGGCTTCAATAGGATTGACAATAGGGTAGTCTACAAGTGAGATAGCTACTATAATCTGAATGAATAGGAGTTAAAGGCATATTAGGAGTTATCATTTCTAAGAGAAGAAAAGAGAATATTCTAGCTGCATAAAATAGAAATAATGAAAGCCTCGAGATAGAAGAGAATTAGGTAAATTTAGAGAACTAAATATGATGCTAGAAAGAAGGTGATAAGCATGGGCATAAAGTCTGACATTAGCCAGATCATAAGGACTGTATATGGCATGTCAAGTAGCTTAGACATTAACCTATGCACAATGATCAGCCACCGAATAGCCTTCAGCTGCGACATCATGGATATATGGAGCCATGTAAGAAAAAAATCACAAACGGTTCTCTAGTGATGCTTCATAGTATCTTTGCCCACTCTGTTCATGATCCAACTAGTTCCCTTGTTGTTTCATGATCATTAGCCAATTATGTTGCAATTTGCACATATTCCTTGCAGTCTTTTTTTTTTTTTTTTTTTTTTTTTGCAAACAGCAGAGGATATTCACTGTTACTTAGTACACTAACAACTCTTATGAATTGTGATTCAAAATTGTGTCTTCCACCTCTACTCAGAAAAGATGAAGTACCATCATGAAGCAAAGAACTTGTTCTGGTTCTTTTATAAGAGCAGTGTGTGCTAGTTCTGACACAGCGCTAAGTCATTAGAATCTAGAGCTAATGAATTCAATCTTGCTTTAAGCCATTATCCCTTTTTCAGTTCTGTGGCTGAAGATCATATTTTAAATCATCTCAAGCCATCTAACAAATGAACAACTTTGGCCTGTTGAAGTATCCTTCCCTCTCCTTATGTGATTCAGAGCTTCGGGTCTTAGAAGAATCCTACTATCACTGTATTACCTAAAAATTTCCTCTGCCAAATGGGATTACTATACCTAAAGTGGTTGGGTATGGTGAATCCTAATCTCCTATTCTCCAAGGAGGATAGTACCGTGGAAGAAATGAGGTTGGATTTGTAAGAATCAGGTAGACTGAGATAGAAACCCTAGTTTCACAACTGGCTTATTATATGGCTATGGCAACTTGAGTCTTTGATTCCTTTCTATAAAATGGAGAAATATGAACATTCCCACAGGGTTATTCTAAGGATTAGATGAGGTAATACAATTCTAAGGAACTATTACAAATTTAAATATTATTATAGACTTTTTAATATTGTGAATTTCTAAATGAATGTTTATCTTGGTGAAATGTTTATCTTGTTAATTTTTGTATTTTTTTAGTACATGGTAGAGATTTAAAACATAAACATAATATATGTATATGTATATGTATATGTAATATATGTATATGTTGTAAATCATTATATTCTCTCTCTATATATATATAGAATATATATTGAATAAAAGAAGCAGCCCTCTAGTCTAGAGTTAGCTATGTTTAAAACACCTCATGGGCCAGGCGTGGTGACTCACACCTGTAATCCCAGCACTTTGGGAGGCTGAGGCAGGCGGATCCCAAGGTCAGGAGATCAAGACCAGCCTGGCCAACATGGTGAAACCCCATCTCTGCTAAAAATACAAAAGTTAGCTGGGCATGGTGCCACGCGCCTGTAGTCCAAGCTACTCGGGAGGCTGAGGCAGGAGAATCATTTGAACCTGGGATGCTGAGGTTGCAGTGAGCCAAGATTGCGCCATTGCACTCCAACCTGGGCAACAGAGTGAGACTCCATCTCAAAAAACAAAACAAAACAAAACAAAACAAAAAACAACACTCATGCAGAAATTGTGAATTCAATAAGCTTTTCTTTGAGCTCTGCTAGTTTCTGCTTTCTGTGACCTTTCAACTCTCCTTACCCAGCCCTCCCGTCTGTCATCGTGGATCCTCATATGTTCTTTCACTTTCTCTTCCCCATATTAAAATTTAGTTGTAGAAAATAAGGAACGAGTTCTTAGTATTCAGATATCATTTCTTTTTCAATTTAGGAAGATTTTTGCTACAAGTATCAGGAAAGCCTTCTCTAACGGCCTTGAAGATTATGAAATGAATTGTAAAGTATAAGTTCTGTATTAGGGCAGGATTCAGGTACATCAATCTCACAGCTCAGTAGCGTTGGCCGGGTGGCCTGTTCTGCCAGTTATGGCATTGGCTTAATCCTCAGTCTGGTTGCACTTATGGACAGATGGCTGCCTATAACAATTGTCCTACCTGTTTCTTCATTCACATCAAGCGGACAAAAATTCAAACCAAAAAAGTTCTCACAATTACAGAGTAAGTGATCAGCCTATTAGATCTAATAAAATGCCCAATTCCAGACCATGCACTGTTTGAGAGTATTACCTCCCCACCCCCATCCCCCTACTCCCGTTCCCGCCCAGGCCAGTCAGCCCTATCTTTGGAACTGTGAATGAAATAACCACCGCACCTCCAGGCACAAAGGCTACCTGGGGTTCTTTGTTGGGAAGGAGAAATGGGGAAATGATGCTATTAGACAACTATTCATGTTAAATGCACTTCTCTCTTCCTTTAAAAAATGACTTATTCCCATAAATGCCTTTGTGATCCAGTGAGAAGGTAATAGGACTAATTGGATGGCAAAGTCGCCTCCTCTGTAAGATGTAAGGATGAACATGCTCCCTGGAGTTCCACTTAGCAGATAATCAGTTGCTTTCATGACTTTCAGCAAGAATGCCCATTTCCTGTGGGTCTGGATGGCTGTGAACATAGGAAAAAAGGTGTATATGTATTTTCTGCTGATCCCTTAACCAGAATCACCTTTAATTTTGTCCCAGACTCCTAGATCCCCAAATCAGAGTCTGAGCAATTTAGACGCCCCTTCCCCAAATCTCTCAGAGTGACTTTTAAAAAAGAGAGCAACCAAAAGCAAACAGGTTGATGCATTTTTAGGAAAATGTTTTTCAAAACCTCAGAAACAAATGGCATCTAAATTTTCCAAAAATATGGGATAAAAGCTCCGCCATTCCTACTTCTCTTTGCAAACAAGGCTTAAGTTTGGAGACAGCATCTGGATTTGTTAACAATACATACTTATGTACCCACTTCACTTAGCTTCCTCACAAACTTGCAGACATCTATTTGGTTCTGTCAGCTTATCTCCATAACCACTACGGGTTCTCTCTTGAGTTAATTTTTCTTCTCTCTCTATCTTTGTCCTCATTTCTCTATTTTATTGCTTCAGTGCACAGGACCGTAAGCAGTGAATTCTTCATTGCTATGTTTGCTAACATGGAGAGTACTACTCCCTACAAATTATATACTAGTGAAAAAAAGCCAAAAGACAGAACTTGTGCCTACGTAAGTTTTGGATATAAAAAGTTTATTTTTGCGCCGGGCACACTGGCTCGCACCTGTAATCCCAGCACTTTGGGAGGCCGAGGCAGGTGGATCACCTGAGGTCAGGAGTTCGAGACTAGCCTGGCCAACATGGTGAAACCCCGCCTCTACTAAAAATACAAAAATTAGCCCAGCCTGGTGGCGGGCACCTACAATCTCAGCTACTAGAGAGACTGAGGCAGGAGAATCGCTTAAACCTCGGAGGCAGAGGTTGCAGTGAGCCGAGATTGCGCCACTGCACTCCAGCCTGGGCAACAGAGCAAGTTTCCCTCTCAAAAAATAAATAAATAAATAAATAAAGGTTTCCTTTTATGTTTGGTTTTATTACAAGGTTACAGATTGGTGGCACATGATAATAAAATTACAGATTTAAAAAGAGACAACAAAGATGAAAGAGAAAATTCTGTAACACAAGTCACACAGTAGTGGCAGAAGACAAAGTGGGAGCAGGCATCTCACATGGTGAGAAGTGGAGCAAGAGAGAGTGGCGTGGGAGGTGCCACACACCTAAACAACCAGATCTCGTAGGTACTCACTATTGCAAGGACAGCACCCAGCCATGAAACATTGGCCTCTATGACCAAAATACCTCCCACTAGTCCCCACCTCCAACACTGGGGATTACATTTCAACTTGAGATTTGTGTGGGGACAAATATCCAAACTATATCACTAATAAATCCCTACGTTTCCTTTTAATCTCTTTAGAGTCAGGGTGCTGCCACTTGTCTTCAACTGGGTTCAGCTTCATGCCAATATGATGTCCACAATGCGTATCAACCCTGAGATTCTAACTCTATGTGGATGGTCTATAACACAAGTCACACAAATCTGTTCTTCAGGCCTGGGCCAGAAGAACCTGTATTCTAAAGCAGTCACAGAGCCCTCCAAGATTCAAGAAGAGGAGGCATAGACCCCAACTCTCCATAGGAGGAGTATCAAAGCTTTTGAGACATCTTTAATCTGCTACAGCCCTATGGGGTAAAACACTGTTATTCCCATGTTACTGAAGGTGAAACTGAGCGAAAAAGAAAACATATAACTTTATTAAGGTCACAGAATTAATAGAAAGCTATAGGTCTGACCTCCAGCAGTCTGGCTCTAAAACCTGCATTTTTTTTTTTATTATACTTTAAGTTCTAGGGTATATGTGTACAACGTGCAAGTTTGTTACATATGTATACATGTGCCATGCTGGTGTGCTGCACCCATTAACTCATCATTTAGCATTAGGTATATCTCCTAATGCTTTCCCTCCCCCCTCACCCCACCCCATGACAGGCCCCAGTGTGTGATGTTCCCCTTCCTGTGTCCAAGTGTTCTCACTGTTCAGTTCCCACCTATGAGTGAGAACATGCGGTGTTTGGTTTTTTGTCCTTGCGATAGTTTGCTGAGAATGATGGTTTCCAGCTTCATCCATGTCCCTACAAAGGACATGAACTCATCATTTTTTATGGCTGCATAGTATTCCATGGTGTATATGTGCCACATTTTCTTAATCCAGTCTATCATTCATGGACACTTGGGTTGGTTCCAAGTCTTTGCTATTGTGAGTAGTGCCACAATAAACATATGTGTGCATGTATCTTTATAGCAGCATGATTTATAATCCTTTGGATATATACCCAGTAATGGGATGGCTGGGTCAAATGGTATTTCTAGTTCTAGATCCCTGAGGAATCGCCACACTGTCTTCCACAATGGTTGAACTAGTTTACAGTCCCACCAACAGTGTAAAAGTGTTCCTATTTCTCCACATCCTCTCCAGCACCTGTTGTTTCCTGACTTTTTAATGATGGCCATTCTAACTGGTGTAAGATGGTATCTCATTGTAGTTTTGATTTGCATTTTTCTGATGGGGCCAGTGATGATGAGCATTTTCTCATGTGTCTGTTGGCTGCATAAGTGTCTTCTTTTGAGAAGTGTCTGTTCATATCCTTCACCCACTTGTTGATGGAATTGTTTTTTTCTTGTAAATTTGTTTGAGTACTTTGTAGATTCTGGATATTAGCCCTTTGTCAGTGAGTAGATTGCAAAAATTTTCTCCCAATCTGTAGGTTGCCTGTTCACTCTGATGGTAGTTTCTTTTGCTGTGCAGAAGCTCTTTAGTTTAATTAGATCCCATTTGTCAATTTTGGCTTTTGTTGCCATTGCTTTTGGTGTTTTAAAACCTGCATTTTTAACCACTTAACCACCCTTAATTCTTTCTGGATATAGACATTATCATGCATGAAGGCTCCTTCTCTCAAGGCTGACTTGCAGCTCTGTTTCCTACTTTTGGCAAGAAGTGGGGTCACTGGCAGGTCTGGCCTCTGAGAAAATCCCAGATCCCAGTTTAAAAATCTTAGGAAATGCCTTGACTGGCCCAATAAAGGTCATGAGCCCATTCTTGGATAAATAAACACAGTCAAGGTGTAGAGATATTCCACTTACTCAGAGGAGGTTCTGGCCAGCCCCTATCACCAAGTAGCCTGTGTCTGTTGCTAGAAAGACGGAGGAAGGGCTGTAGGGCAGACAAGTACCATTGAGGTCCAGGACAATGGACATCTAACCTAGCACTTTTGCCTAATACTTGAATCACTTTCACTCTCTATTTCAGTTAAATGCTTAAGCAACTTTGCTTTCCATAGAATTCATTTCTTCCTAAAGATGCCCATTACTGTTTAAAGAATTTCAAGCTTCAGAGAGCAGATGAGGAAAGTGTTTTGAAGTGCTAAAGCCTTTCCCAATCTTTGTCTTAGAATTGTGCCACAATTTCCCGTCAGAGAGTAGCTGGTCTACCAAACCTCTGTATGTTTTTGCCATGGTATCCCCAGAGTCTATCACCATGGGATGGATGTGTGAACAAACCTGGTTCAATGCAATTTAACAAGCATTTATTGAACCATCAGGTTGATAGATTATCTCCCTAGAAAGGCTGATAATTTTGGTATTGAGGTTAGTAACAGACTTAGGAGTTGTGAGAGTCCTTAGGGAATTGTGATTCCCGGATTGGACAGTATCTGTGGAAATTCTCCAAAAAAAACAAGAAACGGTATGTGCAGAAAAGTCATCATTAGCCCAGGCCAAGCCCCTCTAGGTACATGGTCACTTATTTATAAAACGGAAACTTTCCAATCAGTTTCCATGATGTCTCAAATATTGGGTATTATCCTTCTTCAAGAGCTTCTCCTCAGAGCTAAAATGTTAGAATTTAAGCTGTGTAATCAATAAGATCTCGCCTAACACTGTCTGTGATTTATAATTTTAGTGTTGAAAAGAACCATTTCCTGGAACATTCTGTATAATTTTTTGTTGAAAATTAAGTTATATTGTAAATGTTCTTGGAGTAATGCAAATCAAAGAAACTCTGTCATTAAATCCACAAAGTGAAGAATTATTTTCAATAATCCATTATTTAGCATTTGTGTAAACCTGGATTTTTCACAGGTCAAATTTGCCCAAGTCGCCACTGCAGCGCCCCACTTCCTGTGTGCCAGCCCCCTCCTGAATTCCATTTGACCCCACGATGAGCTAGAGGGGAGCTGTTAGCCGCTGGTCTAATAGCTCTACTTCTGTCATATAATCTTAGGAAATGCATTGCACTGGAGCACCGGATGGATTCAAAACCAACACAAAAGGGAGTCAGCCAACTCAAAATGCCCCTGCACATCAGATGATTTGAATGATATATTTCAAACACAGTGAGACTGTGTATTGTCCCAGAAAATAAATAAGGTAGCAGAAGTCATATACATTGTTGCTTTTGGGTGTGTGGTCAGAATACCTGAGATTACCAAGGATGTTCATAACAGATGCACCAATTCTAGAGTTCCCAAATAGAACTTCATACTTAATTTTACTTTTTCCCCCTAAAGAGAAGAAGGATTCATATCTTTGAGAATATTAATATGAATAATTATTATAGAAATAATATAGAGATATGAGTATTTATATTCATATATATACACACACATATATTTACACAGATATGATACACAAATGCATTCAGAACAAAAGATTCTAACTTCATTGTGTCAGAAAAATCTAAAAAATACAATAAAACAAAACAAAATTTACCCAGTTAATTGCTTTGCAGATACATGATACAAATCAAGCTAGATCTGAGGTGGTCCTTTTCTCAAACAAGAATGGTGCTAGGCATTGGAGGTGCGGAGTTAGAAGAAAGGAGCAATTAACTTACTGAAGAAAATTAAATATCAAAAAGGAAAGTTTGGTTTCCCAAAAAGAAAAGTTTGATTTGGTCCATCAAGTGTTCCCTACAGCTATTTTCTGAATGCATTCCAACCTATGTCTGGGTAGATTTTTTTGAGATGGAGTTTCACTCTTGTTGCCCAGGCTGGAGTGCAATGGCGTGATCTCGGCTCATCGCAACCTCCGCCTTCCGGGTTCAAGCGATTCTCCTGCCTCAGCCTCTGGAGTAGCTGGGATTACAGGCACGTGCCACCATGCCCAGCTAATTTTGTATTTTTAGTAGAGATGGGGTTTCTCCATGTTGGTCAGGCTGGTCTCAAACTCCTGACCTCAGGTGATCCACCCGCCTCAGCCTCCCAAAGTGCTGGGATTACAGGCGTGAGCCACCGTGCCCAGCTGAGTAGACTTTTTTGATCTCTAAATTATATGTCTTTCATAAAATTCTATGAAGTCAGAGGCACAAAAGTAGATAAACTCCCTTTAAATTTGAAGGGGCCAATGTAGTGTGACTAAAGGACTATATATGGCGCATTCACACACATGCAAAGAATTAAGAAGGATGCTGGGTCTGCAGCAGTGTTTCTCAACAGCAGCACTATGGACATGTTGAGCCTGATAACTTTTTGCTGTAGGTGGATGTCCTGCGCATTGTAGAATATTTAGTAGCATCCCTCACTTCGATGCATTAGATGCTTGGTAGCATCTACTTCCATCCCCAGGCTCATCACAACCAAAATGTCTCCAGATGTTGCCAAATGTCCTGTGTTGGGTAAATTTCTCCTGGTTGAGAACCACTGCTCTAAAGTCAAAACCTCTGTTACTTCTCTATTTTGGCTATCCCAGACATTCTTATTGTATTAGGCCTTTCTTGCGCTGTTATACATAAATACATGAGACTGGGTAATTTATAAGAAAAGAAGTTTAATTGGCTCAGGGTTCTTAGACTACACAGGAAGCATAGCAGTATTAGGAAGCTTCCAATCATGGCAGAAGGCAAAGGGGGAACAGGCATGTCACATGCTAAGAAAAGGAGCGAACAAGAGAGTGTGAGAGGGAGGGGTGCCACACATTTTTAAACCACCAGATCTCCTGAGAACAAAGAGAGAGAGCTCATTTATCACCAAAGGGATGGTCCAAGCCATTCATGAGGAATTTTCCCTCATAATCCAAACACCTCCCACCAGGCCCCATCTCTAATACTGGGAATTACATTTCAACATGAGATTTGGTGGGGACACACATTCAAACTATATCACTTACCTACTATAAGTATTATTTTCAAATATTTATTGTCAAAGCACATAATTTATTTCCTTCACTCTAATTTTAAGGTTATTTGTCTTAGGTTTTATTCCTGAAAAGAAGAGCCAGAGAGAGGGATTTGTGTGCAAGCCATTTGTCAAAGGAGTGTTCCATGGAGAAATCTGTGAGTGCAAGAAGCCAATTAGAGAAGAGAAAAGAGCCGCAAACACATGGATTCAGATGAGGTCTATCCTTGGGCTGCTCCCTTGAGAAGCACCAACATGTAAATCACACCATGGAATTTGCTCAGCTTTGAGGCAACAGAACCATGCTTCTGTACCTCACATTGAACAATTATTATCTAACAGCCACTGTAGAGAGTGTTGAAAATTGGCTACATTGAGCTGCACCAAAAACAGTTGGTATGCTATTTCTTCAAAAGAAAAATTGGATGAGCCTGATTGGCTTAATATGTTTTATCCAGAGATGATTATCATCATGAAAATAGAAGCACACCAAAAATGACCAATATCAGCATTATCCTGGTTTAGCACACAAAACCCATCTATTTAAAGTATAGTATTTTGGAAAAAGATGTTTTAATGGAAACTAAAGTAGTGACATTTCTAAGTGCCCTTTGACTATAACTATGTTCCCAAGCATAATTTCACAAAACATCTCTTAAATTTGTATTTTTCTCCATAATGGGAATATATATTAATGTGTTTTAGAAGAGTAAGAGCCCTGATCTACAATATACACTTGAAGTATCTACAATATACACTTGAAGTATGTCTCCTGTCCTCTCTTCTCATTAGTTTGTTTGTGCTCAGGAAAAGTGAAAATGATAATCAGAATAGCAAGGATGGGAGAACATCTTAAACAAAGACAAGCAGTTTAGCTTGAGAATGGCAAGAGAATATTATAAAGAAATATATTCCATTCAAAAACCAATACAAATAACTTTCTGATTATTGTGTGAGGTTATTGTACCATAATTCACCCATGTATTGAGGGAATACTCACATACACACAGATACACATACATCAAATAATTTTTGTTTGTGAAAAACCCTATAATTTTATCTGTGCAAAACTTCATGCATATGTTTTAATGTATTTATTTTTAGTTATTGTTTGTAATGGAATGAAATCTATAATATTATAAAGATGAACAAAAATAAACCTGCCAGAGAGACCTGGTTATCTTTGTTTGAAAATGGCAATGGATACTCTAGAGGCATTTAAGTTATACATCTACAAGTCCCCTAAATACTCTGCTAATTGCTGCCATGGGACACTTTACTTTCTCAAGGTTTACAGTCTAGTTGGGTACACAGAATAAGCACACAGGAGAGGATGACAATTAATTTCAGGCCATAAGCAGTTAAATAGGTGCTAGCTATAAGGAATTCTGGAGGAAGAGATCCTGACCTCTTGAGATAACCAGGACACATTTTAAGGAGAAGGTGGTCTTTAAATTAGGTTTTGAAGCTGCATTTTAGCTCAGCTATTCTTATGCAATACCTAGCTATTGCAAAGATTCAAAGTTACATTTTTGATAGTCTAAGTTCAAGTAGCAGTGCTGGCTTCCTTAGGCAACCCAAAGGAAATACTTCTTCTTTGAAACTTGTTACTTTTTTCTGTTTGAGAAATTATGTGTGCTCATTTTTAGAATATTCAGAAGGTCTGAAGAAGAAATTTAAAAGGACCCATAACTCTAACAACTAGTGTAAACCATTATTAAAATTTTAATAAATATGAACAGATTTCTTTTTAGAGTTTCAGAGGCATAAAATTGCCTTATGTCGCTAGGCTAAAAGTGACCTGTGACCTGGGAGGTTATGGACCAACCTATAGAAGTTGTTTCAGTACCGACTACCTACAGATGGTAATCCAATGTATTCTTTTTTAAAAAATAGATTTATGTATTTTGTTTTGTAAAAATCTATGGTGTACAAGTGCAATTTTGTTACATGTATAGATTGCCTAGCAGCAAAGTCAGGCTTTTAGGGTATCCATCACCAGAAAAAAAGTACACTGTCCCCATTAACTAATTTCTCATCACCAGCACAGGGTGCCTCACACCTGTAGTCCCAGCACTTTGGGAGGCTGAGGCGGGGAGATCACCTGAGGTCGGGAGTTTGAGATCAGCTTGACCAACATGGTGAAACTCCATCTCTACTAAAAATACAAAAATTAGCTGGGCGTAGTGGCGGGTGCCTGTAATCCCAGCTACTTGGGAGGCTGAGGCAGGAGAATCACTTGAACACGGGAGGCGGAGTTTGCGGTGAGCCGAGATCGCGTCATTGCACTCCAGCCTGGGTGACAGAGCAAGACTCTGTCTTAAAAAAAAAAAAAAGTAATTTCTCCTCATCCACCTCTGTCCCACCCCCTGCCCCAATGTCTTCCAGAACACCTCTTTTGACAGGTAACTCATCAACTCCCAAGAAAGCCCAGACTATTTTCAGATAACTTGATGTAGTTTAAAATGCTTTAATATGTTAAGTCTAAATCTCTAACCTCACAATTTCTATCTATTTCCCTGATTCTGGGCACCTCTAGAATAAACTAAATCTTGCTTTCAAGTGTAAATCTTTTGTGGCTTCTCTGTCCTTATCAGTGTCTCCTGAGCTGGCCACTGTTTGCTGTCCACTGAATGGTCTAGGAGGTATTCACAAAAAATTACAGCAATAATATTATGGAAGAAGTTAGAGCTACTCTCTAAATTGGGCACAGATGGATTAGAATGGTATTGTGTTTTGAGAAAATGTAAGTAACTAATAACTAATAATTGTCATACAGTATGAATAACAATATTGCTATTATGCAGGAAAGTCTTCATTACTTACTCATCTCCTATCCCCCAATCACACCCCAGAAACAGTCTCGACAATATCTCCTGGGCTTTTTTTTTTCTTCAGTATCTAACAGGAAATAATTATGCGTGTCAGCTTTCAGCTGTCAAAAAAAGAGAGAGAGAATGATTTATAAAAGAAAATTCAATTTCCAAAAGTTGGCATTTTTATGAATTTCTGTATTTTTAAAGGAGCATATGTTGTTAAGCAATAGCTTGAAGCCTTTGAAATCACTCTCTGTCTGCACCTCCCTATTATCTCAGTGGCCACCAAGAATCTGTGAACATTCTGTACAAGGAAGATGGAGACAATGAATTCTTTCGGTACTCATGTTACCTGAATAACGTTAAGATAAAAAAATCAGTCAAAAGATAAATTTATGTGTGCATAGTGAGCACTGCTCCTTATTCAGGGAGTAATTGTTTCATGCTCTTCCCAAACTGGGAAACGGAAAACAGGGTCTGTCTTCAAACTCAAACGCATATGGGGCCTAGCAAGTAACATACTTGGGTTAGGTGAGATGATGGCAACTTGATAGGTCATGGTCCATTTAAGGGGAAGGGTGCAATTCAGCATCAAATGTTGCTCTATGAGAGTTTAGCCTCACCTGCTATTGCCAGATCTCCTGATGTTTTTACAAGAGATGCCCAATAAATTCTTATTTTTGTGCATGCCCTCTTGTCTTTTGAACTCTGGCAATTAATTATGTTTTCGAAAACCTAATCTGAGTACCACAAAACCTTTCTGTGGATTGAACTTGGACAAAGGTAAATTGGGACCTGCCCCAGATGTAGAGGTTCCCTCAATGCCAACTGGTGAGTCCAGTAAGTTGTGCAATTCAAATGATATAACAGAAGCTCACAATGCTCCTTGAAGAGTAAGTAGGGTTAGGATTTCTGGGAGGAAATGGGAACATCTCAAGTAGAACAAACAACCGTGTCTGAAGACAAACATGGGGATGTAACAGTGAGATGTCCCAATATTTGGAGTATATGGTACCAACCGGGGAGGAAAAGGAAATGGATATTAAATAGGCTGCATGGGTTGTGATCATGGAAGATATTTCATGCCAGCCAGAAGAAAAATTATGAATAGAAATAATTGGAAATAGGGAGACAATCAGGGTATTGAAGCAGCACAATACCTGCAGAATTTCATAGAGATATCCAAAAAGGGCTGCCCAAGAGGATGATCTGAGTCATTCTGAAGATGGTGTTTTTGTCTTTGTTGACCACCTGCTATTGATCCAATGGAGAAGTTTAGCCTAGGGAAGGCTGAAGAACACCTTGGCTAGTTGGGAGATGGAGAGAGATACCTTTTGGACTCTTAAGAATTACAAGTTTCTTTCTAATTCCATTTGTTTTTTTCGTCATTCATTTATGCCACAAATATTAGTAAAGCACCTATTCTACATCCTGCCCTATAGTTAGAACTACAGCATGCAACAGAAAATAAAATGGAAGTGGAAAAATACCAGTGATATTTGCAATAATGGGTAAAAAATATTAGAAAGTGATCCAGGGAGCTGTGGGAGCACCTACAATGAGCACCTGGACCTGTCTCTGCAGTGTTAGGTATTCAGGAAATATGTCCCAGAAGCAACATTTAAGCTGTAATGTGGATGATCAGTAGGAGTCAGGCCAAGCACAGAGGACAAGGGGGTTCCTGGGATAAGGCGGAAGGCAGCATGTTGGTGTTGATATGAGAGCTGAGAACATTTAATTATGCCTGGAGTATAAAAGGAGAGGAGGAAGTTGGTGAGAAGTGAGTGGAGAAAGGTAATCAAGAATGACATTCTGTGGGCTTAGAGGACTTGTTAAGGAGTTCTCAAAAACATTTTAAAGGGCCGGGCATGGTGGCTCACACCTGTAATCCCAGCACTTTGGGAGGTCGAGGTGGGTGGATCACAAGGTCAGGAGATCGAGACCATCCTGGCTAACACGGTGAAACCCGGTCCCTACTAAAAATACAATTAGTATAAAAAAATTAGCGGGCGCCTGTAGGAAGCTGAAGCAGGAGAATGGCGTGAACCTGGGAGGCGGAGCCTGCAGTGAGCCGAGATCGCACCACTGCACTCCAGGCTGGGTGACAGCGAGACTTCGTCTCAAAAAAAAAAAGTTTTAAAGCAGGATAACAATAACGTCCAAATTTTATTTTTAAAAACGAATTGACAACGGTGTACCTGGGGGCCAAAAAAAACCAGTTAAAATCCTTTACCCAGAGATTTGACCTTACCAAGCAACTCAGAAAGCCTTTCTGATGTTTGGACACAAAGGGAAATAAATGAAAGTTCCTGAGATGGTATGTGGCAGCACTGTGCCAGACAACCAAGGAAGGGTCTTGGTGTCAGGGTATCACAACACTGGACTGTCCAGGATGAAAGGGATTGTAGAAGCCATTGGCCGTTGCCTGGCACTCTTTATACTAAGGAGAAAACGGAGGCCCAGAGAGGACAAACAATGTACCTAGGATCACACAGCAAGGCAGTGGTAGAACCAGGCCGGACCCAGATCCCAAGAAAATTATTTTTTTATTTAGTACAAGGGCAAAACACACTACTTATTAAGGTAGGAAAAAACTTACAGAATATCAGAATTATAGTTGTGGAATTCCCTATCTCTGAAGAAAAAGAGGAACTAACCCAGTCAGTACACAAAGTGGAACACAGAACACAGACACACAAAACAAATAATTAACAGTGTAAATGTTAGTCATTTTTACACTCTAAATTTATGATATTTTGGGCTGTGCATCTTTTCTAAAGAACTATACCCAAAGAAAAAGGGCATTCTGTTACAGTTTGACATCCTTGTGTTTTTTTTTCTTCTTCTTTGCTAAAATCAGGATTTAACAATCTAAGGGGAAAATATTTTCACATCTCAAAAGAACTGTCTGAGGATACAGAAAGAGAATCTGGGGGTGTCAGCTCCTAGTCCCTTCATCCCTCATGAGTAGTATAAGGGGGGTGAACTGAGGATCCCCAAGAGTTCTACTTCAAAGATTCATGGAACACAGATAACAAAAACCAGATCTTTTCACCCTTTTTAATATACTTGATTTTTCAAGTAAATGAGTTATTTGCAAAAAATAAATTTTTTATATGTACCACTGAGTAGGAGTGGATATTAATCATTTCAGTAAATAGATTTCAGTTTACTCCCCAAACACTGAACTGAAGCAGCATGCAAATTATTTATAAACGAACCAAGGGAGACAAGGAGGTAAGACTGTGGAACTGCCAGTTGTTAAAACAGTTCATGGAGTGGATTTAAATAATGCCTGCTCTGCCACTACACCAGAGTACATTTCTGCATAGAAGCTTTACATATGGATCCTTCTTCTACACGGGCAAAATAAACAGGATGTTTTTAGGTAGAGGCATCACATACTCACTGAGAGTGCCAACTCTCCCCCAGCTCAATGGTTGGAACACAATAAGCACTCAATAAATGTTGCTGGGTAAACTAATAAAGTCACCACGATGTTAATAGCCGGGTTTGGTCTCTCTAGTGACCTGTATTTTTGATGGGAAATAGCAAATGGTTAACAAAATGAATCTATTTTAAGGTAGACTTACAAGCTGCTATTTGGAATGAAGTTTGGGGACCACAGGTGTATTCCAGTGCTGTTTGCAGAAGTCACTGATTTAAAAACAAAAACTATGATTTTTATATAGAAACTGAATTGCTGAGACATTTTATCCTCAAGATTATTTCCATTTATGCAGTAAAGACAACCTGGAAGGCCAAAAATTTGAGAAGAACTTGGCAGAAGTTTGGAAGACACTGGATACACAGATGCTCAGGATGAAGAGATAACACCTTCTGGCTCATCTTCTTCTTACTTTTAATCTACTGCTTTTCCAAAAATAAATTTTCATTTCCTGTGAATGCTACAGAATGATTTATGTTCATTGAGTGTAAGAACTAGGCACTTAGGAAGCAAATATATTGCTTTTCTGTAAGCTGAGTAGTAAGAGTAAATATCTCTATCACAATATTTCTAGCATATGTTGCATATATTTTTAAAGTGAAGTTTCCAATGCTGCCTGTATATTAAGAAATCCTAAAGGGATTGACTTTTGCTACACAAAAGTAATATTCTGAATTGCAAAGGTAGGTGCATAAGTCTGAATCATGTTAACATAAAAAGACAATTATCTACCTAACACTAAAATGTAATTGTTTCCTTCAATTGAGATAGAACAGTGCATTACACAAAGAGTCATCACTGCAGATTTTAAAATATTTTATATCACATTGAATCTGGCAAACATCTAGTGAAACTGACATTCTTCCAATTTTAATACTTGAGATTATACCTGGAGCAACTCCACTGACAATAAGCAAGGTATAGGAATGTGGGAAGACAGAAAATTTCTATTTTTAGTCATTTCACTATCACCTGGAAAATGTCCAAGTAGGCTATCTATTGCATTTAAGACCTATAGAATAATTGTTGCTGGCAAATTCTAATACAAATAAGTCCAGAGAATGCTGTGGAAATTATTGTTTTTTAATATGCCCGCTTCTAGTGTTGTCTACACTGCAGGACAGTGGCAACAACAGTCAACAGATTAAGATAAAAATTACCACAAGCTTTTTTTTTTTCTGCCTACAGGAAAATAAAATGCTTACACAACATTAATGCAAACCTTAGGTCTTTGTGTTCCAAAATTGTGGGAACCTACATCATAACCTAGAGCAATAGCAGGCCATCAGGTTTCTCATTCTCTGGAAGAATCTCCACTGGTTCGCACATGGATTCAGCTTGATCTGAGACCACTGACCAATAAGAGGGAAAAGAAATTGCATGGATGTGAACAGACATGGCTCCTAGAGGCCAGAGTTGGAAGGAATCTTAGAGGTCAATAAATTCAACTGTTACTTGTCATTTTGGTTCTTCCACTGAATCTGGGAGCGTAGACTAGGGTTTCAGATAAAGACCAAGTTAGAAAGCTCCCCTTGGCAGATCTGAGAGTACAGTCCAACAACACTGCACAGAGATAAATCCTTTGCCTCCGCATAGTAACCTTGCTTTAGCTGAAATCCCAGAGAATGAATCAAAGAGGCTTTTAGAAGCCTCACACATTAGTGTGAGTTTAACAGAGACCCAAAGTTAACACTGCTTTACAACAGCCACCCAGAAAAGTAATGTTGCAGATTGGTACTCAAGGCCTGTAATACTGGTAGGTCAAATCTTGGTAGGTTCAGCCACTAGTTTAACATATTTGGTAGGTACAATAAGTTTTTTTTAAAAATGCCAAGACTCACTATGTGTTCATTTAACTAAAACTTTTTATTGAATTTAATGCTCATAACAACTCTACAAGTCAGATGCTATCAATGCTCCATTTTATTAATACAGATGTGGAAATTACAGCATAGAAAAGCTCATGTATCTTGGTAAAGATCACATGTGGTGAGGCCAGAATTCAAATCTGAGCAGCGAGATTCCAGGGTCTCTGATCTCACACAGTCCCCTGAGCTGCCACATAGTCTCTTGTCCTCTCCCTCTCTGACCTTTCCTCTTTTCAGGAAGTTTGGGAACTGAGTTTGTATGAAGTTGTCAAATGATTTCAGAAATGGTGTCCAGAAATATTTTTTTAAAAATCTCATTTCTCTTGTTCCTGTCTCATCAGTAAAGAAATATTGAAACAGATGGTAATGAGAGACCAAGACCTTTTGAATTTTTACAGTAAAAGTTTTACCTGTGGGCATTTTCAGCCTAATGGTCATGACCAACAGCAAATAGATGTTTGAATAGGAAATGGTCAGTGAAGGGCGATGTTGGAGTTTGGGGCTTGGGCCTCAATGGGGATGCCTTGAGAAGCCCCACTGAGAAGCATCTGTGGTGAAAAGATATCTGTGGACCTCAGTCTTCTGGGCATACAAACCAGATCACATCATCACAAGACAAGCACTATGTCTCACAAGAATAATATAGATCAGGATGATAATTCATTAACTTACAATGAGAAATGCAGGCACCCTGTGGCCTGGAATACTCACATTAGAATGGCCAGCACATTTTCGCCCTATAGGCAGACCAGTGAGGGAAACCAAATTATAATCAGAAGTTTGCTTGATTAGTATGGAATTAGAATAAGGAGAGTGAATTAGATGATTTTAGGCTTAATGGTGTGAGACAAAAACAGCCTGATGTGTCCATCTCCACAGCAGGGATAGCCTTTCAAATGGCAATATAATACTCAAATTTCACTGACCTAATTCTCTCTGCCCCAGTGGAGCTTGAAGAGACACAGCCAACTTTTTTCTTGTGATTATGATTTTTCTCTCATTGTTTTCAGACCAATCTCGCTTATGTTAAACAGAATTGTCTTTATTTTTTAACAGTATGTTGAATATTTTTAGTTTAGCTTCACTTGAACCTAAATCTCTATTTCTTTAAAATGATTTCTACTAACTTTTGTAATTCATCTTTAGATTCTTGCTCAGAGAGCAGTTCAAGTTCCAAGCATTTCCATGTGTTATTAACTCAGTAATGTAAAAATCTCAAAGAACTAGAACATAAAAAGTATGACTTCGTGTGTATATTCACTTATATCTGTACACTTTGCTTATTAAAAACATTAACAAATATCAATAAATGAAGAGTTGTTAAAGAAATTATAAAACCTGAGGATATATCCTAGACTTAACTCATGTTCAACTCAAACTTCCATACAGTTTTTCATAGCTAGTCTGTGCACTAAAACAATTGATTCTCAGAAAGATAATCTCAATAATTTATCATGTCCTAAACATCAAACAACTATTTACTCACATGTATTGAACTGTCCTTTTTAAAACAGGTAAAACAAAAAAGAAAACATTCACACAAAAACTTGTGCACAAATGTTCACAGCAGCATTATTCATAATAGCCAGAACAACCTAAATGTCCACCAACTGATGAATGGATACACTAAATGTGGTATATCTGTACAATGAAATATTACGCAGCTATATAAAGGAACTAAATTCTGACACATACTACAACGTGGGTGAAGACATTATGCTAAATGAAGAAGCTAGATACAAATAAGCACACATTGTATGTCCCTTGTAATAGGCAAATCCATAGAAACAAAACAGAAAGTGGATTAGTGATTGCCACATGCTGGGGAAAGGGAGGAAAGAAGAGTGACTGCTAACAGGTATGATATTTCTTTCTGGGGTGGTCAACATGTGCTCGAATTAGACAGTGGCATTGCTGTAGAACCTTGTAAACCTGCCTTGGGTTAAGAAGGAGGAGGGGCTAGTGTGAAGTGGGTGTGGCTATAAAGGGGCAACATGAAGGATATTTGTGGTGATGGAAATGCTGTGCCTTGACTGTATTACTCTTGATATTCTGGTTTTGATACTCTACGATAGTTTTGCAAAAGTTATTATTAGGGGAAACTGGGTAAAAGATACATAGGCTCCTTCTGTATTTTTATGATTACATATGAATCTGCAATTATTTCAAAATAAAAAATTTAACTTAAAAACACAGGTAAAATAACTCTGACTGTGGAAAACTATTTTTATCAAGTATTAAAACCAGATATTTAAATTTTATTTAAAATATTTTTGTTTAACTTGAAAATTCAGTTTACCAGACTCTCCTATTCCCAAGTCGTCTGACCAATTGATATATTCACATTTATACCAAATCTATAATATAATAATAGCTCTTATACTTTTGATCATAGTACAATGGCCAGAGCTTGCTGTAGGCTTGGCAAATTCCTAGAGGAAGGTCCTGAGTTCTTCGTTTCATTCTTCCTTTGGATTAAACACTATTAGCAAGAGGCCCTCATTCCCAGGTGCAGCAGATGCTACGTATTCACTTGGCCACCTCTGAACTCACTTATAGCTTCAGTGGACACATCCTAAACACCCTAACAGACTCTCACCACACAGGGTTGTATTTTTGTTTCCCTGCCTGACAAATTTCTCCAATGCCAGGAGAGCAGAACATCCTGAAAATACTGGTATATGACACACCCAGGACAACCTGATTAAAGTTGATAGAAAAATACTCAGCTTCCGCAACTTCTATGACAGGTAATTACGTAGAACATTTTACAAGGCAACTAACAGTTCCCAAGGCATCACTCACTTATTAGCACACCTTTTATTGGCTCCCTCTGTTTCCTGTCAGACTTTTCCCACTCCATTTACTTGAGTTTCCTGGGATCTACTCTCAAATTGTGCCTAAGTCTTTATCTCAGGGTATACTTGTGTAGAACCTAAGAAAACACCATATCCATGATGTATTAAAGCAAAGCTCCCTACTTCTGATGTTTTATAAGGCTGAACTCATGGTGTTAAGTGTTGAGTCAATCAACCACATCCCACTGTTAGTGAATAAGCCTCCATTTAGAACTATTAAGTGATACATGATAGACCTCATTCTAGAACTTCATTATGACCTGCAAATAAAATTGTGTTCCCTGTTTTTGAGGTTTCCAAGAACTAGAGGAGATTTTTAAATTTGCTGATGGTCAAGTGTGTTGACTTAGTGGGAATCCAAACTTTCGAATTATTATAGTACTTTTATAAAGTAATTTGTTAATATATTTAAAAAACAGTAACAACAATCATAGCCTTTGGCCCATTAATTCCACTTGTGGGAATTTACTTATGGGAAATTTATATCACCAAAGGTATACACACTACAGGCATAAAACGATGTATTATTTCAAGATTGCTTACAATAACACATTTCAAAAGCTTGATAATAATCTAAATGTCCAACAGTTAGATTTTTCTGCCTTAACTAGTTGCATAATCAGGCAGCTAGAGGAGGTGGCACTAACATTCATGGTTTTTCTATGACTGTAAATAAAAAAATAAGGAAAGTTGTATTTGTGTTATGTTTATTATATAAATATAATATTTGTATATGGACAAGACCTAGAACAGAACTACCTAAGGTCACCTCTAATCTGTCCAAATAGTTGTAGCATCAAAATCATATATGAGAAGCAAAGAATGCTTTTGAAGGTATACTATTTTTTAAATACAACTCTTTTCTTTAATGCCTGAGGACTTGTCCACAAATCTGTCCCTAGTATTAAGTATAGTGGAGGAACAAATACTCTGTCAGCCTGACTTTCTTCTTGGGAAAGGAACACACTACTCAGCTTTTTTCTGAGTATGTTTCTTTGGCAATAACTTAAAGACTAAGAAAAAGTGAAATAATTATAAAAATTATTAGACATTTGCTTTATTTCTCCCTCTCAATAAGAACAGAAGGAATTGATAAGAATATCATTACTATACTATTAACTTGAGAATCCTAGATTCAGAATGTTAGGACTGAAAGGCACACAGAAAAAGAGGAACTGATTCTGAAGAACTAAAGTGACTTGTTAAGTTAATTGGTGGTGAAGCCAGAATCATCTGTAGTTTTCTGATCATTAGTGTAGAGCTTAGCCAATTTCCTTAAGTGTAAGTGGAGTAATAACCCTTGCCCTGCTGCAACCCTTTGGCTTCTGTAGGAATCAAATAAAAGGAGGTTTATGAAGGGGCTCTGTACATTGCAAACCCAGTCCACGATAAAGCAATGTAGACTTTATTTATTTTAATGGAAATGGGGTCTTTCTCTATTGCCCTGGCTGGAGTGCAGCAGTATGATCCTAGCTCACTGCAGCCTGGAACTCCTGAGCTAAAGTGATCCTCCTGCTTCAACCTCTCTAGTAGGTGTATACCACCATTTTTTTTTAGAGATATGATTCTGATATTTTGCTCAGTCTGGTCTCAAACTCCTTGCTCAAGCAATCCTCCTACCTCAGTTTCCAAAGTACCTGGAATTACAAGCATGAGCTACCACGTTCAGCTCCCAATGTAGAATATTTTTTTAAGTCACAAAGAATGATAGATGCTTGAGCTGATTGATGCTCCATTTACCTTGATATGATTATTACACATCATATGCCTGTATCAAAATATCTCATGGACCCCAAATATATATACGCCTATTATGTATCCATAAAAATAAAAAATATAAAAAGTCAAGTAATAATAGTTGTTGCCTGATTGATAATCTGCATAGGTCAAGGGTATAAACTCTTGCTGAGAGGATCATTATCTCCTGTTACAGGAGATGCAGCCTGTTGGCTGGTCCCATGATTGATTCTGAGGAATGGGCACCTTAGCCAGAATAGTGGCGGATCAGCTAGATGCGCTGATGCATGGTTGTCTTTCTTCAGGCACGACAGGGCCCATTCTTTGTTCCTTTACCACCTGGGAGTGATTCAGACAGGAAAAAGGTAGAGCTGCCAACTTGAATTCTATCTTCTCCTACCCTCATTTTTTCAGCTGTGCTGCACACACTGTCTCCCTTGATACTTAACTCTGTTCTCTTCAACTAGGTCCTATTTCCTGGACACAGCCAGGGGCAGTTCAGGACCAGCTTTTAGAAGAATCCATGCTGAGCTTCTCTAATCCTCTACAGGCTCTTCAGGAGCAAGAAGCCTGCTAAAAGCTGCTTGGGATGTGAATAAAACAAGTCTCTGCACATAACAGATGGCCAATCAGATCTTTAATCAATCTATTGGCTAAGAAGGGATAGAACTCTACAAAGTTAACATAAGATTCAAATTGCGAATTAGTACTTTAAACACAGAAGACACTATTATTCTTATGTACCATATGTTATGAAACACACACACATATATATGTATATATATTCAGTATTGGAATAAACACAATACGAAATGGTTCAAGATCTGGATTCTATTCTTGGCTCAGCCACTAACTTGCTCTGTAACTATGGACAAATCACTTCAACTCCCTAGGCCCCTTTATAAAACAAAGAAATCCTAGATGATTCCTAACAACTTTCACTCCTGAAGATCTATTGCTATTTAAGAACAAGATTAAAAATAATGAGGAAAGCATCTACATATATCTCTCTATACACACACACACACACACACACATATACATATATAGGCATCTATATCAAAGGGATGGTTCAACAATAAACCAAATGTTTGCAAGACATATCACTCAAAACTAAATCACTCCTAGTGTATATGTCAACACAGGTTTTACTAAATACAGTTTGAATTAGGCTGCAGTAAAGTGAAGAGCGCAATGAATAGTATATTTCTGTCAACTTTTTGCTTAAGAAGTACTCTTTCTGTTTCCTTTTTTTCTGCCTTTCCCTCCTTTCTCTAGTTTAGTATATATTTTAAGAACAGTTAGCCAGATTGAGTTCAAAGCGAAGGTCTGCTACTATCTAGTTGTATGAATTTAGACAATTATTTAACTGTTCTGTGTCTCATTAAAAACAATTATAATGGTAGTACTTATCTTAAAAGGTAGTTATAAGGATTTAATGGCATTATTTGTAAAACCTTTGAACATGGGAAGAACTTGTATGTGTTAAATCTTCCGATGTAATTAATAGAGAGTATATTAATATCTATTTACTCTTTACAGGTGGGTGATGAAATCTGGAGGAAAAGATAAAAAAATTGATATGGACTGTGTTAAGTGTCTATAGGATATACACTATCAATGTTGGGCAGGCAGTTCAAATTTTCAAATCCAGTCTAGAGGGAGATCTATGCTGGAGGTTTCTATTTGACAGGCTACCTATATAGATTTTACATCTAGAAATGACTGAGATTAGCCATGAACAAAAATTGTGTGTGGGAAAAGGGAAGAGGTCAAAAAACAGTACATTCTTTTCTTCTGACACCTACTCCTTTTTATTCAGTTTTATTGAGCTATAATTGTTAAATAAAAGTTGTGTATATTTAAGGCATACAATGCAGTCTTTGGATAAGTAGACCTTGTGTCATGATTCCCACTATCAAGCTGTCACATACCCACCACCTCACATAAGTTACCTTTGTGTGTGTGTGTGTGTGTGTGTGTGTGTGTGTGTGTGTATGTGTGTATTAGGCCATTCTTACATTGTTACAAAGAAATAATGAGGCTTGGTAATTTTTAAGAAAAAGGGTTTCATTGGCTCATGGTTTTGCAGGCTGCACAGGAAGCACAGTGCCAGCATCTGCTTTTGAGGAGGCCTCAGGAAGCCTCCAATCACAGTGGAAAGTGAAGGGGGAGCAGGCTTCTCACATGGTGGGAGCAAGAGCAAGAGAGAGAGAGCGAAGTACCACACAGTTATAAACAGCCAGATCTCGAGAGAAGTCACTGAGGACAACACCAAGAGGATGGTGCTAAACTGTTGGTGAGAAATCCACACTCCAGGTCCATGATACAGTCACCTCTCACAGGCCCCTCCTCGAATACTGGGGATTGCAATTCAACATGAGATTTGGGCAGGGACAAATATACAAACTATGTCAGCGCGTACGTGTGTGTATGTGTATATGTATGTGTGTATGTATGGTGAGGACACTTAAAATTCACTTAGCAAATTTTCTGTGTACAGTATGTTATTGTTAGCTATAGTTATCATTACTGTGCATTAGATCTTCTAGGATTTATTCATCTTATAGCTGAAATTTTATACTCCTTTGACCAATATCTTCCCACTTCCCCCACCCCATAGCCTCAGTCAGCCACCATTTTACTTCCAGTTTTCTAAGTTTGACTTTTTTAGATTTCACACAGAAGTGATAAAATGCTATTTTTGTCTTTCTGTTGATACGAACTCTTAAGGAGCAGCTTAAGGTAAAGGAGCCAGTGGAAGATACTGACAGAGACAGGCAAAAGCACTAGAAAAAGAGAAGAGAATTGTCCCATAAAAGCCAAAGTGTAACGTTTCAAAAAGGAGGCACTTGAGTCAAGTTACATAGACTTGAAACCAGATAAAGGCTGAGAAAAAGTCACTGCATCTGACAATGCCAAGATTATTGCTAACCTTTGAGAGAGCAGCCTTGGAGAGATGTTGATGCAAAATTTCATTTGGTTAAGGAATAAATGGGAAGTGAAAAATATGAGGCAGGGAATGTAGATAACTGTTTCAATATGTTGTCAGGTAAATGGAGCTCATAGCCTGATAGAGCTGAGAACAGGAACACAGTAATCCTCCTTGGTATATATCAAGGGAGTCTATGAATTTTTAGGTTATAACTAAATATTTGCACATTTCATCTTGTGGTAGTCTGAAATCCATGATGTGGAATAAAGGTTTCATTGGAAAATAGTTTAAGACTATTGTGATAATGTACAGAACTTCAGGGGATTAATGCTAAAATAACTACTTAGTAAATATCAGAAAGGCTATACTTTTAGCTTGTTGCTATGGGACCAAGCCTGTGTGATACCCAACAACCATGAGTTAAGTGGCAAAACTTAGTTAATCAGCTCGTCGTTTTGTCTGCATGGTGCCAAATATCTGCTTTGACTGATTTTCTCACTAAATTGACTCAATCAAACATTTGTGGTGTCATCGTTTAGAGAAGACCCTAGGTGTTTAAAGAGAGCATTGCTTACCTAAATTGTACTACATGACTGGAATTTACTCATCCATAAAGGCAGTAAGTATGTGTGTGTGTGTGTGTGTATATGCACACACGCAAACACACACGCACATATACAATCTTCCTACTGCATTTAGCTATCCAGAGGACATTTTTTAAGTTTTAAATTTTTTCTTGATATTTAGCGTTCTCAGGGGGATAATTTTGTGTATTGTGTTATTGCCTAGCACTATTAAGTCAGAAGAAACTGAGTCAAGTTAATACTCATAAAGTTCCTTCTATTTAAAATGGCAGAAAGTGAGGGGAAGGAAGAAAGAAGGAAAAGTGCTAAGGACTTGAGATATTAATAGTGTAAAAAATAAAGACAGACAGGAAAGCTGGAGTTAGGGGAGCATTGCTTTTGCCAATCAGAAGGAAGCTAAGGGCAAGTTAGGAAATCCTTGCTGATGGATTCAGTTCTTATCTTGGATATCTATTCCAAATAACAAGGCAAGACATTTTGAAAGATTTCTGGGGTCACAGCTAAAATTTTCAAATCAGGATTAGTTTAAATCTCTAGATCTCTGACTCACGACCTCCTAAACAGAATGTAACATTTTCTATCAGAAGAAGGAAGGCAAGTTAATCTAGGGGAATGTTTTAAGCAGCTCCCAGGAAGAAACATTTTTATCCTTTCTATTTAAATAGGAAGAAGGGCTAAATTTATCTGTAAAAGACCATTGAATTGTCCAATAAATGTCACTGTGACTGCTTTCAAATAAAATAGCATATGCTGAATAGGAAAAGGCCAAAGAACGCAGTATGAATACCATTATTATAAATGACTGATTCAATTGATGTCACCATTTTAGATTATTTCACCATGGAAGAACCGTAATGATTTTGAATATTTGTTATTGCAAATATTTTTTATGGAAAATTACTCCTTCTGAAAATAGATTTTGAAAAATATATGTAATGTTAATGCCTGACATGGTGATGTCACAGGACAATTCATTTAATTAAGAAAGCCCGTGAATGGAGGCATACTCCTGGCTCACAGAAGCATGAGAAGGTACAAATATGAATTGGCCCTAGTTTGTTCTGTTTCAGAAACAGCGACTTTAGATACACACGTCTTAAAAGGGAAGTTCCTTCATTTTGTGTTTACTCCATAGAGCAAAAAAAAAAAAAAAAAAAAAAAACAAAAAAAACCACAGTAACTCCATTAATAGAATTGTAAAGATGACCAAGTTAGACATAATTATTCTCTCTTGCTTTCTATGTTCACATATTCCTTATTGTTTTCTCAACTAGGTGTTTATATTGAGTTCTGGTTTTTAAAAATTTTATTCTCAACCAGCAGTCAATAAAGGTGTAGGCTGGACGGGTGCAGTGGCTCAAGCCAGTAATCCCAGCACCTTGGGAGGCCAAGGCAGGCGGATCACAAGGTCAAGAGATCGAGACCATCCTGGCCAACATGGTGAAACCTCATCTCTACTAAAAATACAAAAATTAGCTGGGTGTGGTGGCACGCGCCTGTAGCCCTAGCTACTCAGGAGGCTGAGGCAGGAGAATTGCTTGAACTCAGGAGACGGAGACGGAGGTTGCAGTGAACAGAGATCACACCACTGCACTCCAGCCTGGGCGACAGAGCAAGACTCCACCAAAAAAAAAAAGGTTACGATCTAGTCCCTCCAGGGTATACGCATTTACAACAATCCATCAACAAATCCTCACTGTGTATATCTTATATGTGTGGCACAGTGGAGTTACAGAAGACCTAGGTCTTGCTCAGAGTGTAGTATCTTCATTGAGTAGATAAAATATGGTACAAAGAGTAATAAAATAAAAATCATACCTGATTAAGTACTATTGATAAAATCACTGTCTTACATCATATCATTCCAAACAATTTAGTAATACCGTAGTATATAGCCTGCTAGTTAAGATGACAGAATCTGGAGCCAGCCTACTTGGGTTCAAATCCTAGTTCTGCTATGTACTAACTGCATGACCTTAGTCAAGATCTTTAAACTATATGTGCTTCAGATTCCATATATTTAACATGTGGACAATTATAGTGCCTGACAGAGCTGTGATAATTAAATTCATATTATATATTAAAATACTCGGCATATACTTACATAGTGTTTACTATGTTCTAAGTGTTATTCTAAGCTTTGGTGTTAGTATAAGTAGACGGTGGCATAGCCAGGTACCATAGTTTGTACAGGAAACACATAACAATTGTCCTTTTACATGCTAAACACATTACTGGCTTTGAAATAGAGAAGATATAATATAGGCTATTTATTTGGTTCAATAATAAGTACCGAGTACTTACCTTAATGATTGTTCAAGATACTGTTATGTGTAGTAATTATTACAAAGTCATTGCCATCATAGAGCTTATAATCTTGTTGAGAAGCAGATAAAGAGATATGTGGTTGGATGATGTCAAATGATAATGTCTGCTCTGATGGTAAAGGTATAGTGAATGGAGCAGGTGCCATTTTAAGTAGCACTGTCAGGAAATAACTCTGAGGAGTTTGTCTATGAGCTAAGTCCTGGGTTTAGTGAAGGAGAAAGGCTATGTTACTATCTGGGGGATAAACAATCCTGTCAAAGGAATGGTAAGTGCAAAGTTCCTGAGACTGGAATGTACTTGGTATTTTCAAGGACGAATGAGGAGGTCAGTTGGTTTGATGTGGAATAAACAGAGTGAGGGAAATGAGTATAACGAGAAGGTCAGGGGCCAGATCCCATAGAAGCTGGTGGACAAGTGTTTCAGTCTCAATGTGTAGGCAAGTTATTGGAGGATTATGGGCCATGACACGGAATGATCTCATCTACATTTTAGAAGTATTCGAGAGGTACATGTGTGGCTTACAGTCCAGGGTAGGCATCAGACCGACAGTAGAAGCAAAATGACAGGGACTTCTTGCAGTTCAGATGAAAACTGGGACTTGGGAGGATGAACGGTGGAGGTAAGAGCTGTGTGGGATTTGAGATATATAATATAGAAATGAGAGAATTTTCTGACAGTATCTAAAAGAGTGAGAATATTGTTTCCATAGGGCTAAGCTTGAATTTGACCTAAATTGTGAAAATATAAATTATTCACAAGTGACTTACTAGTAATGGATTACTTGTGACACTTCACTGCCACCCCCGCCACCTTAGTATGATTCCACAGCAGGGTCTGAGTCCCATAGCTGCAGGTTGTGACTGGAGTGTTCTGGGAAGGAAATATGGAGCAGCTGAGGTCTGAGCCAAGCCTTTAATGAGTGGGTCAGAAAAAAGAGGATAAAGCCATCCCATTAATGGCCAGATGTGGAACATGCCACTCTCTCCAGACCCTAACACTGATCCTATGAAACAGAATGAAAGACAGTGAGCTGACATTTGGGAGAAAGAAGTGTGGGTCACTTTTCTGTCTAATTAACTGCTACACACATTCCTTTACTCACTAAACTCTCCAGAAAAGTATGCAAGAGGAGATATCTTGATAAGAAAAGAGAAGAATTTGAGCGCACTTTCCAGCAGTATGTGTCATTCCTCCCATCTGTGGGAGTTGTGGGGTGGGTGATGAGCTCTGCTAAGCAAGTCTCTCCAACATTCTTTTCAGGTTTAGTAGATAAACGTGAACAAAAAGAACTCATCACATCTAATTAACTTTATGGGGTTGTTTGATAGGGCTACATCTGCTTCTTTATGTGGTGACACTAAATGTATTCTCTTCTTCACTGGAGTCCAGATGGCTACACAGCAAAGGATAGAAACCACATAAAAAGCTTGATGCCAGTGTCCGAGAGATGGTCAAAAAGTCCCTGACCCTCAACTGCAAGGCAGTGGGTTTCATTTAGCTCAGTGACACCAGTAGAAGGGGACATGGATTAGTGGGTATAGGCAGGAGGACAGCAGGAGGGTGACTGCACATTGGGCTCCCTCTCCCTGAACAGGTTCTCCAGCCTATGCCCTCACCTGTATTTTTCCTATTTGTATGCCCTTTTCCACCCTCTCCACCTGCTGAAATTTTAGTTGTTCTTCAAAGCTGTATCAATTGGGAATATAAACTGTGTTTCATTTCCCACAAAAAGTTAAAAAAAATCAACAGGTAGGACAAAATATATATGGACTTAGATAATTAAAATACACAGGCAAGACCAGAGGTGGAGGTTCAGCTTTGAGTATAGCTGAGTTCAATGCTTAAATGATATCAATAGTAATGTGAGAACAGCTTAGTTATAGAAACACAGCCATACCATAGAAAGGCATTTATCCTGTGGAAGAGAAAAGAAGCTTTCCTGTTGGGTCAAAGACAGAACTAGGTTGATTGACTTGTTATGGATTACGTTTTCACCACTGAACCAAACATTGTGGCCAGGGCCATGGACTCTGTTGACTGGCCCAGATCTTGCTGGGTGCTCAAGTATCACTAGATAGAATTAGTAGCACCAAATCACAAGCGCCAAGAGTGGGTTCTAGAGCGGGAATTCCTCACATGAAAGGGAGATCATAAGAATCTGTTGTAGCAGATGGGATAAGTGGTTGCTATATGAAAAAAATAAAAATCCACCACCAAACTACAAATGCCTACTGAGGAGACCTTGTTTATATTTTCTTTGGTTTAGGAACTATTTTCTGACATCCCAGCCAGAAGTGAAAACTTTTTCTCCAAACTCTGCTAAGCAGTTTTGTTTGCCTTGTTGTATTTATTTGTGTGTGTGCCTTCCTTCTCCTTTTATAATCCTTGATAAAAGGGACTGTGCTTGCACCTGAATTGAACATAAAATATAGCACAGCATGTTGCATACAGAAAGTGTGTCATTAAGAAGGGGTGTTACACCGCATGTTCTCACTCATAGGTGGGAATTGAACAATGAGAACACTTGGACACAGGGAGGGGAACATCACACACCAGGGCCTGTCGTGGGGTGAGGGGTCGGGGGAGGGATAGCATTAGGAGAAATACCTAATGTAAACGACGAGTTGATGGGTGCAGCAAACCAACATGGCACATGTATACCTATGTAACAGAACTGCACGTTGTGCATATGTACCCTAGAACTTAAAGTATAATAAAAAAATAAAGAAAGGGTGTTACAGTGTGTATAGATGAATTTTGGATTTAAAGAATAGGTTAGTATCATTTCTAGAACAATTAAATAGGTGTCAATAATTAGGAAATCATGGAAATCAATAATGGACAGTCTTGTGGGATTTCTCATAACAACATCAGAGATTATTTACTCTTCTCATTTAGTTTTATAGATCCTTACTTACCCACATTTATTTCATTTTTCGAAAAATATTAACCAATATTTGTCGAGTGCCTTTTACTTACAGGAAGTGAACGAGGCAATTTTGGTATGTAATCTCACTTCTCATAACAAACCTAGTATTGCTATATCTATTTTATAGATTGTGAATCTGAAGTCTAGAGAGGTGAAGAGAGGTTTAGAGGTTAACTGCAGAACCAGGAATAGAAATTGGATTTGAATTCAGATCTGTTGGATTAAAAAACATGAATGCTTTCACCATACCATAAATATCTCAGGTTTATGTTTTAATATTTACATTTCCTGGATTTCATCATGTAGAAGTGATCTGATGCTTTTTCTCTGACACCTATTGAAAGGTGAGGACATTTCTTTTTTTTTTTTTTTTTACCATTTTCTTGTTTTTTAAGATCCTAATACTAAGTGATAATATTTTTTGCTCTTTCTTTTCTTCCTTTCTCCCCCTTCCTCCTTTCTTTCTGTCTTTTTTGTTATTATTTTTGAAGAACCAGTTGTGGAGCCTTTAACATTTAGAGAGATAGAATGGTGTTTGGGTTCCCAGTTTGGCTTCTGGGTGTAGGCAGACTTAGGCTCAATCACTGCTTTCATGACTAACATTACTATGATCTTGAACAAGATAGTAAAACCTGGTTTCCTTTTTCTTAAAATGGCTAATAACAATAGTACTTACGTTATAGGGTTGCTATGAGAAATACATGCTATATTTTCTTAAAGGAATTAGCTCTGAGCCTGGCACATAGTAAATACAGAATAAAATATTTGCTCTTATTTGCCACTATTTAACTCAGGAAGTAAATTTGATCTCCCATACTTTATGATCTTAGAATTGTTTGTAAAAGTTGCATATCTATTTCTAGGACTAAAAAGTGGTATTTTTGGAAATTACTAAGATATATCAGTCAAATAAAGGTTAATAAGAATTATTTATGTACATAGAGGATTAAATGTATAAACCAATAATGAAAGAACCCTGTGGCAGCAAGCTCTCAAGGGAATCAGGAGCTCATATAAATGGACTAAAAAACCTCATATAAATCAGTTTCTAATAAGGTCAAGTCCATCTTATGAGCAAGAGAATAGGTCCAATATCCTATAGCAAACTGAAATGTGCAAAACAAAAATTAGCCAATGAAACTGTTGAAAATATTTTGCTTTTTATTTTTTTTTTCTCACTCGAAAAATGTGAGAAAGATCGGAGGCATAAGATTCAAACAGGTCATTGTTATTTTTAACTGTAACAGTCCCTCCACTCTGTGAAAGAATGCTTTTCACAGGATCTTTGGTTGGATCAGATCATTGGCTTGGAAGGTAAAGGATGAAATCGTAAATCTTGAGTTCTAGGTAGCAGTAGGACCTGCCATTTGAAATGACCGATAGATAACACAAAAGAAAGGGAGATAGCGGATGGATCATATCTAACATCTGCAGAGTTAATGATAGTTCCTTCTTTCTGCAACCTGCTCTAACATTGCCCTCTCTCCAATGTCCTGTGGTTGCTAAGCAACCTCTCATAGATGTAGTGGAGTGAGCAAGATCTGTCAAATTCATTAGTTTTGCCTTAAAGAGGCAGTGTCTGTAATGAAAGTGAAAGTGCTATACTTTGTCTCTGTTTACACTAGTGTAGACTAGCAAAAAAAACTTTCTCTTTCTCTTAACCCCACCCCTTTCTGAAAGTCTTTCAGATGCAGAAAAGACTTGAGGTTAAAAACTGTTTCTTATACAGGGGAGGAAGCAAAGTAAAGAAAAATGATCAAGTTGAAAATGTGCACTTATTTTAACATTTTCCATTTTCAGTTGCTCTGGAAGCAAGTTACAAAATCTTGTACAATCTTGAAATTCAGCAAAAGAAGAGCAGTAGGGAAATTAATGGTAGTTTTGTCCAAAGGAACATATACTTTAAGGGAAGAAGAAATCATAGCTTTTCCTATCCATTTATTACATGTTTCTGGGAATAGCTGGTATTTTCCGTATGTGTGAAATATGAACCTGAGACAAAATTACAGTCAGGAAGTAAAGGCAGGACAGTTAAGACTGAGGTGGCTATTACACACACAGCCTCTATTTCTGCATTTTAACTTTCTTCTAAATATTACATTAGGACTGGAATTTCTTACGTTTGATTTCTTCTAGTTGAACTATTATTTTTTTTCTGGAGACTAGAATAGCCTGTATTTCTTTCTTCAATGAAAATCTGATGAATCTCTTTAAAATAAAGGCTTGATCTCTTCACATGAAATAGCTACACAGGATAAGATGGTGGTAGCATTCATTTTGGAAGCATGCAAATATGAAATTATGGCTTAATTGCAATTTATTTGTTGGGTGATATGGGATGAATCATTTAAACCTTGCTAATTCTTGGTTTTCTGATCTATAAAATGAGAACACTAAAAATACTGTCTCCTGAAGTTGTTGCAAAGATTAAATTACATAATCCATGTACAGTGCATATACAAGTGAATTATACAAAATAAATGTCAAATAAATATACTCGTTATTATTTTTGGGTTTGGTTTTCCCAGTAATTTTGCATTTTTTAAATGTTTTATTGTGGTTATGTGTTCAACAATACTAAGTATACTAATAAAATTAAAAAGTCAAAAGTGAATATCTTCATTCAAACCTCAGAATTATCCTAACCCCACCCCTGTAGGACAGAAACATTTACATCTTTTAGTAGCCATAAAAGTTAATATTTTTAAAAAATACTTTTTTTTCCGTTCCATTGAATGTCAGAGTTTCTCGCCGAACAGAAACTAGCATTTTGTGCTGCTTGTAAGTCCATCCAGGTGGGGTTGGTAAGGGATGATGACTCCATGCTTTCTCTCTCTGCCCCAACTTTAGACCAATAGAGTCTTGCATTCAAGCAATAATGCCAAGGAAAAAAAATAGACTGGCAAAGTTAATCCAGAAGATTTCTAAAACAAGAGGAAGAATTCCAAGTTTCTAGGAACTTACTGGATTTTCATTATAACTGGATCAGGTTGAAAGTCCAGAGGGTTTTGTAATACTTCCACTTTTATAAATAAGAATTGAATATTTTATGTCCACTGTCATGGCTCTGTACTCACATTGTCTGAGTGATTTTCATACTTTCATTTTCTCTGTAGCCACACGTTACTCATCAGCATGTTTAAGAAAAGCAACTGTATGGCAATTTATTGATAATAACTTTTAGAATGGAAGAATTTAGAACTAAAATCAAATTTAAAGTATATTTTTATATGCACATATTTTAAATGTGGTATAAATAATTCTTAGTAAGAAGATACCTAAATTAGGAAAGTGAATGGGGATTTGAGTGATTCATTGATAGACTTCATCACTGACCTTACTATGTTTTTCTCTTTCTAGTTCCTCAGCAAATAAATAAGACCAATAACATACTACCCTGTGTGGCTTTCAAGAAAACTGTTATTAATAAATAAGAACATCTCTAACTCCTCTGGAGAAAGAGCATCAGGAAGAGGATTTCTGGGGAAATTTCCAGTGATCCAGCTGGATTTGAGATGAGGATTATTTCTATGATTTCTCCATGTGGGTGGCAATATTTTATAGTGGTTAGGGCTGTGTGCTTTGAATCAGTGAGACCCAGATTTAGATCTGGATTCTGCCATGCACATCCTTAATCTCTCTCTCTCTACATCTTGGTTTTCACTATAAATGGAGAGGGCTGATAGAGTTGTAATGCCTCCGTGCCTAGCACAGTGACAGGAACATATGTGAGCTGTTACAGCCATCATCACTATCTGCATCAGCATTATCCTGTCTTCATTTAGATCTGTACACTCAAGCCGGTTGTCACTGCTTTATAAATGAACAAATCATCAAAAACTGCTCCTAAGCCCAGGATGTCTCGTCTATAAGTAACCCTACACTTCCGGTTTCTAGAGGAGGCACATAACTTCTACCAGGAGATGGAATCTCATACATTTCTGTGGCTTAAGTTAGGAAGAAAACTGACTAGCAGTTAGGCAAGAATGAGCAGTAACGCTGATAAACAGTAGGACTTGTGGATGCTATTAACTTTGCTTGCGATTTTCTGGTTCAGGAATGAACATGGCAAAGAAGCTCTGAAAGATAAGCCAGAAGAGACAGGTCTGATTCTTTTGTGAGCATTCATTTCCTCACTTACAAAACTAGGCAATCATTGAGGGCTTTTTTCATGTCATTCATAATACAGGCATTTTATATTAAATAAATCAAAAGATCACTTGCAGTTCTAACATTAAATGCCTTGGGGTTATGGGTTTTCTCCTTCCTTTCTCTCTCAACTTGAACTAGTTATAAGAAATCAATAAATGTCATGTCAAAGTGTTGAAAATTATTATTCAGTTTCTGTCAAGCGAATTATGCTATTCCATGAAATACAATGGTGCTGCTGGGATCATGCTTGTAGGAATTATCTGAAACTTTGCCATTAAAGGCCTCTTGCATTAAAAAGCGAAAAGAATCTAACGTAAGGATGTATAATGTAAGTACTGAACATCTCATCAGGGTCTTCTTTCAGTTACAATGTGTAAGTTACACTCAAGGCACTAATTTCCTGTTTGTTTGTAAGGAAGGCAATCACAGCCATTAAAATTTCTGCTCTACAAGTGATTTTCCCTCTTTTACCAATCTATGTTCCTTTTCCGTCAGGTTACATCTTCCAGAACTAATTCCCAATTAGCAAAGTCTTTTATAGGGTTTAATGACTTTTCAGGAACTCTCCCCAGAAACATATTTTAGTTCAAATTAATGCAACTATACATCTGTAACATAATTTCCCAGATAAAATTTATTTCATTCAACCAGCACGTACTTTGTGACTACTATGTGCCTAAATGAGTGCCTTTTCTAAAAAGAAATCCTAAACTAGACCACTTGGATCTTTGCTAGAATCAGTACGCACACATTGGTAAGTTAAAACTATCACAGGTATTATCATGAGTTGTCCTTAGAGAAATAGTAGTTGGGTGTCTGGGAAGCAAAGATTCTTTCCAAACCTAGAGACAGATTTGCTTTTAGTCTAGTTGGTAACATGCGGCCATTTTCTAATGCAGAGCTGCAAACTTTTTTCTGCGGAAAAAATTCTATCCAAAAAGGAAAAAATCCCCCCACCCCTATTTCTCTTCATCTGTCTGTTTCTGTCTGTTTCTGTCTATTCCTCTTTTGCATATATATATATATATATATATATATATATATATGCATGAATGCATGTGTGTGTGTATATATATGTGTGTGTATATATATGTGTGTGTGTGTGTGTGTGTATATATATATATATATGCATGGTCCCTTACTCTCTCCAATATTATGTGCTGAACACATCAGGCTGTAAGGCTGTGTAGCTTTTATGTGTTTCTACCATAATTATGCAGCTTTAACCTTTACACATGAATAAGTTGCTGTGTGGGTGGCAGGATGAACAGTTAAAGAGCACTGCTGTTGCAGAACAAGAATGTGGGAAATAGAACAGCACAATGACTTAAAAACTTTATGCTCTCTTAAATGTCTTTCTGTTGTGGTTACATTAGAGCAAGATCGGAAAAAATATTATCATTATGCTTGTTTATCCACAATTGCATTTCTTCCATCCTTAAAGAAATTTTAAAATCTTGTCCACGAAGATTTGTGTAGTGGAGTATCTCCTCTTTTCAGAATCAGTTGTTTGCAAAATACCCAAACAAAGCTTACATTCATCTTTCCGACCAATGATACTTTTATCCTGTCTCAATTAAGAGAAATAAGGAAGCTATTCCTTAGTGTTTACTACACAGAGGTGTTAAATCCTTGTTGCATCTCTTGTAGAGTCCCTGGAATCCATGCGAAATACTAATAATTATAATATCTGTGACAATAACAAAAGTGACCCAATCCCTTCTAAGATGTTTATTTGTGTGTGTGTGTGTGTGTGTGTGTGTGTGTGTGCCTGTGTGTGTGTGTGGTAGAGGAGGATTGGATAGGATTAGAGGGACACTAGTTAACAAAAAACATACATCACGTTTCTTTCCATGTCTTTGCCATTAAATGTTACTTACATTCTGAACTGTTGCTGCCAAGTGACAGCTAAAAGCTTGTCCTGAAAATACAACCCTTGTTTTTTATTTCCCTTATGCCACTATGTTACTATAAGCACTTACACAGAGTCCATGGACCTGGCAATGTACAACAGAATCTGAATAGAATTTAGATAATCAATATGTCCCTTTTATTTTAGAACTTTCATTGAAGGCCATACTGTTCCACCACAGGTGACAGGGAAAGTCAAAAGGAAGAGAAAGGGTTAAGGCCCAGGCTGTGAAAGATGCAGGCAATGGCATAAGAGTAACAACAAGCAAAGCCACAAATCAAGTTAACTAAACTGTTCTTTATCTGAAACGTGCTTTATCAGAGGCACCCATGAGTTAAACTGCTGAATGAACTTAGATGTCATAAATATACTTACGAATTTCAAACACATGTTCATTTACTAACAATTCCTAATGACCACTAGTGGCTATAACCTAGAAAGAAGCTTTCACAAGCAAAACTCACATAATAGCTTTGTCAGTGGGGACAAAAACTGAAGCATCATTTATCCTTCATCATAAACATAAACCAGGAGTCAGTCTTTCCTCTTGATGGTTTCTGGCTAAAATCTAAGTTAATTTTTGGCTCATCAATTTCAATATAAATTGTATAAATGGGATGATATTTAGTTATGCTAAAATAATATGAATCTACTCTCAATTTTACTAAGTAATAGTATATGAAATGTTAATCATTGTTGATGTTAAGGATGGGTGTTAATTTAGGAGTATGTAGGATAAATAGAAGACATAACCTTAAGTAGAAATGATTTAAATTTCTATTTGTGTTTCAATTACTATATCGGTGCTTTACAATGTTTGTTCTTTCCATTTTGGACAGCAGCTAGTAATCTCTGGCTAATTTTTATGATAACCACTCCCACTGATAGCAACCTGAGTTTGTGGTTTAGTGAGACTATGTGTATTAAATGAAGCTGAAGCTGTCTCTCAGAGATCCTAGAGTGTCTGGGTTAATTGGAATGTTAGTTATATATGCAGTCACAACATATCGGTCTCTTTTTTTTTTTTTTTTTTTGCAATAAGAACTAAGGCTTTGCAGCGAGCTTATTAAATTATTCCAGCACTCAAAGCCATTGTTTAAGAAACAAAAGCAAGTAAGTTTTTAGTTTATGCCTCTTGAGGCATGTAGAATGAGAACAAAAGGTTGTCCTCAATCTAGACTTGGCAAACTCTGGAGATGCACAGCTAATATTTTTCAGGCTGGAATTTGAATTTTAAAACATCTTTTGGATCAAGAAAGAAGCAATTGCCATCCTAATCAATAAATACCAAGGGGATTTCCGCTTCTGAAATAAGCAGTTCTGAATTTATGGTTTTACTTTCATGTGGTCTAGAGCTTCCTTGTGAATGGTACAATGAAGAAACAATGATGTGAAATCAACACTAATTGATGAAACTGTGGGAAAAGCGAGGGGAAACGACAACTAAGAGACATGATTTAAAGTCCTGGTGCTGTGTCTTTAATAACAACATAATCTATTAACTATCTGTAAGGTCTAAGGTCCCTTTAAGCTCTGAAATTCTGTGAATCGCTAAGTGAAGTTTGATTTTCACTGAATCATAAACGGTACTGAGAGCCCACAGGCATGTTGATGGCACCAGGCACCTGCCAATGGCTCAGGAAGGGAGGAATAGGACCAGGTGGCAAACTACTCCGCACGTTTGCCAAGAACACATCCCTGCCTCTAAATGCAGTTAGCCTTAGCCTACATTAATTAAGAGCCTGCCCCCTTGCTGTTTCTGCTCTCTTAGCCTGATGGCTGATTCCCCATTTTTCCATTTTAGAATTGTGTGAAAGGGAATTTGTTTTGTTTTGCAAAAGGGCTTACTTGGCAAATAACCTCCCCCTCCTCTCCCTTCTCACAGGCACCATAATAAGCACCACCAAAAGAGGCTAATTTTGCCAGACTTGGATTCCATCAGCCAGCGCTTCCCAAAGATTGCCATGTTATTGCAAAATTAGACTTTTTATTACTGGAATAAATACTGTGCAGTCTTTGTAGCCACCACTTAATAGATTCCTTTGCTAATCCCACTGAATAACAAGGATTCCTTGTGAAAATAAAAGGCAGACAAGGTAGAGTAAACCAGCAATTACATATAATGTGCTGCTGTTAGCCTGCCAAAGCGGTTCATAAACCCTGCAGGGAAAGACTGGGGCATTTTTCAGGGCTTTCACCCCAATTGCCTTGCTGAACGCCTCCCTCTTGGTGAGCTGTTTACATGGAGGTGAATAGATTCTGCAGCTGTCTCTTTCTGTGGCCTGGTAGGAACGCTTTATTACCTTCTTTCCCTTGTTTCTTTCCCTGGGAGAACTCATTTTCTATCCTAATACCTTATTTATTTATGCGCCAAAGCTCTGAGAAGGCCTTCAATACAAAAGAATACTGTTATCAGAGAAGCGCAATACACTATGTTGATTCACAGCATGGGCATCAGATGTAGAGGAACACATGTCTAAGTGCCCTCTCTCCCGCATTTGAGCTGGATGACTTTAAGGGAAATTGTCTAAGTTCCTTTATCCTTAATTTTCACATCTTTAAGATGAACGTAATGCAGGAATACTCAAACTTCAGAATGTGTCAGAATCACCTGGAGAGTTTGGATCAGTGTACCAGGAAATCGCAGAGTCACACGCCAGGGCTTCTGATTCAGAAATTCTGAGTTGATGACTGCAAATTTGCATTTGTAAAACATTACCACATGTTTCTGATTGTGCTGGTCTGGGTGGGGGCCACACTGTGGTCTACTATAGCATAGTGATATTGTGAGGATTAGATAAGACAATGTATTAAAAATCTTTAGCTCACTTTGGGAGGCCGAGGCCAGTGGATCGCTTGAGCTCAGGAGTTGGAGACCGGCCTGGGCAACATGGCAAAACCCTGTCTCTACTAAAAATACAAAAATTACCTGGGCGTGGTGGTGTGCACCCATAATCCCAGCTATTTGAGAGGCTGAGATGGGTAGATCCCTTGAGCCTGGGAGGTGGAGGTTGCAGTGAGCTGAGATCCTGCCATTGCACTCCAGCCTGGGTGACAGAGCAAGACCCTGCCTCAAAAAAAAAAAAAAAAAAAAATCTTTAGTTCATATGGTGCTGCCATTTAGCTGTCAATCAATATAATATATGTCTGTGTAAATACACCACCTTTTTTCTTGTTTTTTGTTTTTTTTTTTAATTTTTAAGTTCAAGGGTACAGGTTCAGGTTTGTTAGATAGGTAAACTGGTGTCATGGGGGTTTGTTGTATAGATTATTTCAACACCCAGGTATTTAGCCTGGTAACCATTAGTTATTTTTCCTGATCTACTCCCTCCTCCCACTCTCCACCTTCTGATAGGCCCCAGTGTGTGTTGTTTTCCTCCATGTGTCCATATGTTCTAATCATTTAGTTCCCACTTATAAGTGAGAACATGCACTATTTGGTTTTCTGTTCCTGTATTAGTTTGCTAAGGATGATGGCCTCCAGCTCCATTCATGTCCCTGCAAAGGACATGATCTCATTCTTTTTTTATGGCTGCATAGTTTTCCATGGTGTTTATATACCACATTTTCTTTATCCCATCTATCATTGATGGACATTTAGGTTGATTCCATGTCTTTGCTATCGTGAATAGTGCTGCAATAAACATACACGTGGATGTGTCTTTATAATAGAACAATTTATATTCCTTTGGGTATATACTCAGTAATGGGATTGCTGGGTCAGATGGTATTTCTGTCTTTAGGTCTTTGAGGAATTGCCACAGTGTCTTTCACAATGGCTGAACTAATTTACACTCCCACCAACTGTGTATAAGCATTCATTTTTCTCTACAACCTTGCCAGCATCTGTGAGCTTTTGACTCCTTAATAATGCCATTTTGACTGGTGTGAAATGGTATATCATTAAGATTTTGATTTGCATTTCTCTAATGATCAATGAATGCTGTTGAGCTAGCTTTTTTTTTTTTTTTTTTTTTTTTTTTGAGATGGAGTTTCACGTATGTTGCCCAGGCTGGAGTGAATGGTGTGATCTCAGCTCACTGCAATCTCTGCCTCCCAGGTTCAAGCGATTCTCCTGCCTCAGCCTCCCGAGTAGCTAGGACTACAGGTGTGTGCCACCACGCCTGGCTAATTTTTTTGTATTTTTAGTAGAGACGGGGATTTCACCACGTTGGTCAGCCTGGTCTCGAACTCCTGACTTCAGGTGATCCACCCACCTCGGCCTCCCAAAGTGCTGGGATTACAGGCATGAGCCACCACACCCAGCCAAGATTTTTTTTCATATGATTGTTGTCCATATGTATATCTTTTTTGAGAAGTACGTATATATTCGTCTGTTCATGTTCTTTGCCCAATTTTTAATGGGGTTGTTTTTTTTTTCTTTTTATAAAGTTAAGTCCCTTATAGTTGCTGGATAATTAAACCTTTGTCAGCTGCATAGTTTGCAACAATTTTCTCTTATTCTGTAGGTTGTCTGTTCACTTTGATGATAGTTTCTTTTGCTGTGCGGAAGAAGCTTAGTTTAATTAGATCTCATTTGTCAATTTTTGTTTTAGTTTTAATTGCTTTTGGTGTCTTCGTTATAAAATCTTTGTCCATGCCTATGTCCTGAATGGTACTGCCTAGGTTGTCTTCGAAGGTTTTTATAGTTTTGGGTTTTACATTTAAGTCTTTAATCCATCTTGAGGTAATTTTTATATAAGGTGTAAGGAAGGGGTCCAGTTTCAATCTTATGCATATGGCTAGCCAATTATCCCAGCACCATTTATTGAATAGGGAATTCTCTCCCTATTGCTTGTTTTTGTCAGGTTTGTCAAACATCAGCTAGTCATAGAAGTATGGTTTTATTTCTGAGTTATTTATTCTGTTCCATTAGCTTATGTGTCTGTTTTTGTACCAGTATCACACTATTTTGGTTACTGTAGCAATGAGAAGTTTTGTTGTAACTCTTTTTCTACCTCCTAATTTCTTTAAACTCTTAATTTCTTTCAACTTTTTCTAAAACTCTTTGTATTGCTGTTATTTTTATTTATTTGTTTGGAGGATCATGCACCAAGGTAGTTCCTCCTCCTCCAACTTTTTTCCATCTTTATCACATATAATAAATTTTATTGGGTTTTGGAATTTATTTCCAAGACATTTATCAATTCAGAAGCCTACTCTTCCCTATTTCTAATCTATATCCTATAAGCCTGGGTTTTTGTGTGTGTGTGTGTGTGTTTTTAATGAAGCCAATACATAGAAATAATTGTTTTGTAAATGAATTCTATTGTCCCCAAGTTCCAATCTAATTTCTTCATTTGTCAGTCATAATTTGAATTTGTTGACATCCATGTGGAAAAGCACTAAGGCTTTCTCTTATTCCTGGAAGAGCATGGAGAGAAGATGACCCCATGCTTGCATGGTTCAGTTTTTTTCAGCCGTGTGGCCAGCGTTCTGGAGATTTGTAAAGGACCCTAGTTTCAGAAGGTAATTCCTTCCCAGGTGATCCTGTATGAGCTGTCCTGGGGCAGTGACAAAAAGACAATGAACTGCTGGTGTTGTAGGCTGGATTCACGCCCTGGCTCAATCACTAGCTACCTGAATAATCCTGGTCAAGTTCCTTAATATTTCTAGACTCAGTAAGTTATTCTACTATTCATCATTTGTAAAAACAACAGTAATAATTCTCTAAGATCCCCCTAAGTTCCTCAATTCCGTGATTCTTGAAGATGTTTCCTAAAAAGGCCTTTTCTAGAAAGCATGTTTTCTAGGTAACTCACACAACAGAATATTAAGGGATCAGGTAACTTTGATTATTTTCCTAAACTTTTTAGATAATGTGACTACTTATAATTTGAATAAAAAATGAAAGTATCTTGACTGACATTTCCCAAACTATGTTTTAAGGAACAGTGTTCTAAGAAATCATAGTGGATATGCCATGTCTGCCCTCCCCTAATTCTAGTGCTGAGTGGAACACTTGGTACTATAGCCTCCTTTTGGAAGTCCACATGGCATATTAACACATCAAACCCTCTGAGAAGTCTTGCAGTAAATAAAGGCAACTTATTCAACTCTGTCTTACTTGGACTGGTATGAGGTGGAAACATATTTACAACACACACCCACACCCCACAGCCTTTTTCAGTATCTATTAACATTCTGCTGAATACTATTCCAGAATACAAACAATTTGGGAGAAGCTGGTTTGGAATTGAGTCCTATATATTTGGATAAAGCTATCTAAATTTCAGAATTCAGAGCAAGGAGAGATCACTGCAATACCTGGAGAAAGTGTCAGGTAGGCACCGACCTTGAAGAATGAGTTGAATTGGGTCACTACATCAGGCATGTTGCCCCACCAGGACTTGCCACACCTATGTGATGAGGTGGGAAACTTTGCCTCCAAAGCAACTTGTCTCAAGCCCCACAGCCTGGAAATTTCAGAAATGGTAATAAAAAATTACATGGATCAAGTCTAGTACACTTTATACTCATTCCTGTCCTTAGTCCTTATGTGCAAAATAACTCCATCATAAAGGAAGCAGTTTAACAATGTGATAGATACCAATGTCCATCAGTGATACTGAGCACATATAGCAGGAAAGCAGCTACAGAGATATTTTGAAAGGGTTGGACTTCTAGTTCCCCTCAGAATGTATCTCATGTGTGAAAGAAAATCCACGTCAAAATTGCCTCAAAAACCATGTGAGGGGCTCCATTCCAAGATGGCTGAACAGGAACAGCTCCGGTCTAAAGCTCCCAGCACGATCGAGGCAGAAAACGGGTGATTTCTGCATTTCCAAGTGAGGTACCTGATTCATCTCATTGGGACTGGTTGGACAGTGGGTGCAGCCCATGGAGGGTGAGCTGAAAGAGGGTGGGGCGCTGCCTCACCCGGGAAGTGCAACGGGTCGGGGGATTTCCCTTTCCTAGCCAAGGAAAGCAGTGACAGACTGTACCTGGAAAAACAGGACATTCCCGCCCAAATACTGTGCTTTTCCCACGGTCTTAGCAACCGGCAGACCAGGAGATTCTCTCCCATGCCTGGCTCGGTGGGTCCCATGCCCAAGAAGCCTTGCTCACTGCTAGCATAGCAGTCTGAGATCAACCTGCCAGGCTGGAGCCTGGCTAGGGGCAGGGCGTCTGCCATTGCTGGGGCTTGATAGGCAAACAAAGAGGCCAGGTAGCTCAAACTGGGCAGAGCCCACTACAGCTCAGCAAGGCCTACTGCCTTTATAGACTCCACCTCTGTGGGCAGGGCATATCTGAACAAAAGGCAGAGCAACTTCTGCAGACTTAAACATCCCTGTCTGACAGCTCTAAAGCAAGCAGTGGTTCTCCCAGTGTGGCATTTGAGCTCTGAGAATGGACAGATGGCCTCCTCAAGTGGGTCCCTGACCCTCATGTAGCCTAACTGGGAGATACCTCCCAGTAGGGGCAGACAGACACCTCATTCAGACAGGTGCCCCTCTGGGTCGAAGCTTCCAGAGGAAGGACCAGGCAGGAATATTTGCTGTTCTGCAGCCTCCACTGGTGACACCCAGGCAAACAGTGTCTGGAGTGAACCTCTAGCAAACTCCAACAGACCTACAGCTGAGGGACCTGACTGTTAGAAGGAAAACTAACAAACAGAAAGGAATAGCATCATTACCAACAAAAAGGACGTCTACACCAAAACCCCATGTGTAGGTCACCAACATCAAAGACCAAAGGTAGATAAAACAACAAAAATGGGGAGAAACCAGAGCAGAAAAGCTGAAAATCCTAAAAACCAGAGCGCCTCTTCTCCTCCAAGGGATCACAGCTCCTTGCCAGTAACAGAACAAAGCTGGACAGAGAATGACTTTGACAAGTTGACAGAAGTAGGCTTCAGAAGGTCGGTAATAACAAACTTCTCTGAGGTAAAGGAGCATGTTCGAACCCATTGAAAGGAAGCTAAAAATCTTGAAAAAAGGTTAGACACATGACTAACTAGAATAAACAGTGTAGAGAAGATCTTAAATGACCTGATGGAGCTGAAAACCATGGCAAGAGAACTTCATGATGCATGCACAAGCTTCAATAGCTGATTCAATCAAGTGGAAGAAAGGGTATCAGTGATTGAAGATCAAATTAATGAAATAAAGTGAGAAGTTTAGAGAAAAAAAGAGTACAGGATACAAAATCAGTGTGCATAAATTACAAGCATTCCTATACACCAATAACAGACAGAGAGCCAAATCATGAGTGAACTCCCATTCACAATTGCTACAAAGAGAATAAAATACCTAGGAATACAACTTACAAGGGATGTGAAGGACCTCTTCAAGGAGAACTACAAACCACTGCTCAATGAAATAAAAGAGGACACAAACAAATGGAAGAAGATTTCATGCTCATGGATAGGAAGAATCAATATCATGAAAATGGCCATACTGCCCAAGGTAATTTATAGATTCAATGCCATTCCCATCAAGCTCCCAATGACTTTCTTCACAGGATTGGAAAAAACTACTTTAAAGTTCATATGGAACCAAAAATAGCCCACATTGCCAAGATAATCCTAAGCAAAAAGAACAAAGTTGGAGGCATCACGCTACTTGACTTCAAACTATACTACAAGGCTACAGTAACCAAAACAGCACGGTACTGGTACCAAAACAGATATATAGATCAATGGAACAGAACAGAGGCCTCAGAAATATCACCACACATCTACAACCATCTGCTCTTTGACAAATCTGACAAAAACAAGAAATGGGGAAAGGATTCCCTATTTAATAAATGGTGCTGGGAAAACTGGCTAGTCATATGTAGAAAGCTGAAACTGGATCCCTTCCTTACACCTTATACAAAAATTAATTCAAGATGGATTAAAGACTTAAATGTTAGACCTAAAACCATAAAAACCCTAGAAGAAAATCTAGGCAATACCATTCAAGACATAGGCATGAGCAAGGACTTCATGACTAAAACATCAAAAGCAATGGCAACAAAAGCCAAAATAGACAAATGTGATATAATTAAACTAGAGAGCTTCTGCACGGCAAAAGAAACTACCATCAGAGTGAAAAGGCAACCTAAAGAATGGGAGAAAATTTTTGCAATCTATCCATCTGACAAAAGGCTAATATCCAGAATCTACAAAGAACTTAAACAAATTTACAAGAAAAAAACAAACAACCCCATCAAAAAGTGGCCGAAGAATATGAACAGATACTTCTCAAAAGAAGACATTTATGCAGCCAACAGACTCATGAAAAAATGCTCATCATCACTGGTCATCAGAGAAATGCAAATCAAAACCACAATGAGATACCATCTCATGCCAGTTAGAATGGTGATCATTAAAAAGTCAGGAAACAACACATGCTGGAGAGGATGTGGAGAAATAGGAACGCTTTTATACTGTTGGTGGGAGTGTAAATTAGTTCAACCATTGTGGAAGACAGTGTGGCAATTCCTCAAAGATCTAGAACTAGAAATACCATTTGACCCAGCGATCCCATTACTGGGTATATACCCAAAGGATTATAAATCATGTTACTATAAAGACACATGCACACGTATGTTTATTGCGGCACTACTCACAATAGCAAAAACTTGGAACCAACCCAAACGTCCATCATTGATAGACTGGATTAAGAAAATGCGGCACATATACACCATGGAATACTATTATACAGCCATAAAAAAGGATGAGTTCATTTCCTATGCAGGGACATGGATGAAGCTGGAAACCATCATTCTCAGCAAACTATCACAAGGACAGAAAACCAAACACCGTATGTTCTCACTCATAGGTGGGAAGTGAACAGTGAGAACACTTGGACACAGGGTGGGGAACATCACACACTGGGGTCTGTTGGGGGGTGGGGACTGGGAGAGGGATATCAGTAGGAGAAATACCTAATGTAAATGACGAGTTAATGGGTGTAGCAAATCAACATGGCACATGTATACCTATGTAACAAACCTGCACTTTGTGAACATGTACCCTAGAACTTAAAGTATAATAATAAAAAAATTCACATCTCATAAACAAAAAAAACCAAGTGAGATGATGTATATGTGCATATCTCACATAAATATGAGGAAGTATTAATATATGAATTATATTAATTGTGGCATTTCTTTGTATTAACCTACATCTGCAGATTTCTGTGTTAAAATGCACATTTCCCAAGAGTGTTAAGATATTTAGACTTGAAACATGAGTGTAATAAGTACATTTGAGAGAAAAGAGACTGAGGGTAAAAGAAATGGGAAAAGGAGAAAGCCTAGGATGTCAGAATTCCAAGTGGAATCCACCCTCCTCTCGTCCGTAGCTTTGCTAAGGACAATCTGGAAAGGTCGCTGAGGTGAGGAAGGGGGAATTGTCTGATCTCTCATGCATAATCTTGCCATATATTTGTTAAGACTCTTTTTAGCTGCAAGTAGCTGAAAAGCATAAATTGCTATACATAAAATGGGGGAGGGAAGAGAATATATTGAAAGAATTTGGGGAATATCTTAGAAAGACAGGTAATCCAAAGGTAAATAATTACATACAGAGTCCTGAGGAATTGAATCAATAAACAGAAAGTTAGAATCAAGTGTCACTCTTTCACTTTCTTTAGCACCCCATGGACTTACTGATTTGTTTCAAAGTGACAGCTCCACATTTCTTCTCTCTAGACTGACTTTCCCTCCATGGCATGAATATGCCAGATGTGGCCGCTCTCATCCTGACTTCATAACACTTCTCAGTTTTAGCATGTGCCAAAAACAACTAGTACCTCTGAACCTTGCTTCAGATTCTCAGGACAAATTATATCAGCCTGTATAGGGTTCAGTCCCTTTTTCTGATCCTCTTAACAATGGCCAGGACACAGACTATGCAGAGAGTGCAAACATGACAGAGGGCCCTTTCTGTGGAAAGAAATACCTCAAAATGGGGTAGGGGCATAAGCTGGGCTCAAATCCTAAAAGAAATGTACTACATATTATGAATAATATAGTCACTGAAAAGATACACATACTGACCTTTGTACATGTAGAGTCTGTGAACGTGGAAAGTGGAAAGATTTAAGATACCTCAGAGAAAATTGTTACTATTATTTTTGTTGTTGCATAATCATGGGACATAAAGACTTCAAAGGGAAAAACTACAATCCAGGAAAGGCTTTAGAGAAGAAGTAGGGCTTGTGATTCACATGCAGTTCTTTACTAGACAAAGCGCATGAAGAGGCGGGAGCAGTAGCAAGAGCACAAAGGTGCAAGAACTTCTACCTTATATATTGCATTGCATATAACTGCTTGGTTAACAGAGAGGAAATACTTCAGAGGATATTTAGGAATGCAGGTGGTAGAGTCCAAATTTCAATTTCTGTCAACAGAATTTTAAAAACGTAAGTTGATAATCTACAAGAGATTATTCATTCAGGCAAATGCCTTTGCGCAAACAGTAAAACAAACAAACAAACAAACAAAAAACACAAAGGGAAAAAAGAGCAACATAGAAATATCTATCTGTTTCACTTACCTCTTTCAAGATATTTCAGTACACTCCAACACTCCGTGATGACTTCAACACACTCCAAGTGGTGTTCTTTTGTAATGTAAATCAAGTCTGATACTTTCTGGGATAACTGTGTAAGGATATCTTTTCTAAATTATGTTATTTTGTTGAAATGTACCAATATAGTGTTATAATTAACATGAAAATCAAGGAGGGGCTTGGTGAATTGCTGACCCTCCAAATGTGATTTGCTAGAGAAAAGTCATGTGTACATCTTCAGGACCTGCAGATATATGAGTATAGAAGGTACAGATAACAGCAGTGCCCTTCAAACATGTGTGATGAGTTCTGAACAAGACCAGTAACGGAGGGAAAAAAATTTTCTTCAAGACTCATAAATATGTAATGATAATTATTATCATTAAAATCATGACAACTATCACCATTATCATCATCTTCATTATCATAAAATCATAATCATCTATTTAGCACTTATTATTTGCTAGACTCTATGTTAGGTGCTTTGCAAGAGGTGTCTCTAAGCCGCTGAAGACACAAGGAGGTACATATTGTCATCACCCCATTTTACAGATGAGGAAACGGATGCACAGAAATAATAATAAAATACCAAACACTATACATGTATTAATGGTAGAGTTAAGGTTCCAAATCTGGACAGTCTAATTTTAGAACATTTGTACTAACTTTACATTCAACTTTGTATATTGGATATTAAGAATGACCTGTCAGTGGATAGGTAGCGCTCTCACTATTTGACTATTCTTTGCCAATGTTTTTCTCTAAAGATGTAGGTTCTAGTTCATAATATTTCAGATTAAAGCTGAACTCATCCCCATAGCTTCAAATAACATCAAATACCTAGAAATGAATCTAATAAAAGATGTGCAAGACCTCTCCACCAAATGTTACAAACATTACTGTGAGGAATTAGAGAAGACCTAATAAGATGTAATAATACATCATATTTTGTATTGAAAACTTAATATTATGAAGATGCTCATTCTTACCAAATTGACCTATAGATTTAAAAGAATTTCAATCAGTTATTGCCAAAGGTTTTAGGGGTAGAAATTGACAAGCTGATTCTAAAATTTATATGGAAATACAAAACTCAAGAATAGCCAAGAAAATTGCTCAAGAATAGGCAAGAAAAACTTGAAGAAAAACAACAAAGCTGAAGTATCATACTACCAAATATTCAGGCTTATTTTAAAGCTATAATAATCAAGACAGGATGTTATTGCTCTGAGAATAAATAAATAAACCAGTGGAATAGAATAGAGAGCTCACAAGCAGACTTACCTAGTTTATGACAAAATGACACTAATGTGTTGTAGGGAAAAAGATGGCCTTTTCAATAACTGTGGCTAAACCAATTAAACACTTATATAGGGTAAAAAAGGAATCTTGACTCTCATATCCCATTCTTTATAAAAATCAATTATAGGTATATTGTAGATCTATAAATAAAAGGTAAAATCATAAAAGTTTTAGAAAAAAATATAGGCTATTTTCATGACACTGGGGATAAACAGATTTCATAAACAGGACACAAAATGTACTACTATGTAATAAAATGGAAATTTGCATTACTTTAAATAAGAACTTCTGTTAATCCAAATATACCATTGGTAAGTCATGTAATGAGATTGACAAAGCAAAGGACTCATCAAAAATTTTATTAAAAACTTCCCAGAATCAATAAGATAGGGTAAAAGAGACCAACTAAAAATGGGCAAACAACTCGAATGAATACTTCACAACGAAGGCTATTCAAATGATGAAAACACATTGAAAAGTTTCCCAACTTCATGTTGTTATAGTAAAACCACAATGCTCTGCAACTGAGTGCCTGCCAGAATGGGTGAACTGTAAAAACAGGGAATACCAAAGCATTAGTGGAGGCATGAAGCAGCTGAGAGTATCACACTCTTCTGAGGGAGGATAAATCTGTATTACCACTTTTAAAAATTATGCTTTAAATGATAAAAATTGCATATATATATATAATTTTATATATATACACACAATTATATATATAGTGTTTCATAACTACTTTAGAAAAATATTTCTAAATATAGAATCTATTTAGGAATATTTCTATATATATTACATATATATTCTATATATAACATATAATATATATATAATATATATTACATATAATATATATTACATATAATATATATATTACATATAATATATGTAATATATATTACATATAATATATATAATATATATTACATATAATATATATAATATATATATTACATATAATATATATTATATATATATTACATAATATATATTATATAATATATTACATATAATATATATTATATAATATATATATAATATATATAGAATATATATTATATATATATTACATATATAAAAATGTTTCTGTATATGGAAATGTGTATATACATTATTTTTTTCTAAAACTAGTTGTAGAACACTATATATAGAACACTATATATGTATGTGTATATATATATATAGTGGTCTGGAGTGCTGGTAATTTTTGTTTCTTGATCCTTGTGTATGTTGGAAGGTTTTGTTTCTATTCATGAAAATATATCTATATATAGAACACTAGTGTTCCATAGCTACTTTAGAAAAGTATTTGGCAATATCTAAGATGATCATATGTATAAACTTTCACCAAGAAATTCTACTCCTGAGTTTTCAGAATTCTACCCAACAAATTGGAGGACGTATGTTTACCAAAAAGCACACAGGACTGCTCGTGCCAACACTCTTCTTAATAATCTCCAAACTAAAGGAAAGTAAAACGTCTAATAGTAGAATGATTAAATTGTAGTATATTCACATAATACAAAGTAGACCGAAATAATGATAAACTACAATTCAAGCAAAAGTGCACATGACTCTCACAATATTGAATACAATAAGTCAGACACAGAAGAGGACAAACTGCTTGAACCCATTTATATAAGTTCAGAAATGAACGAGCGTGGTCTGGAGTGGTGGTAATTTTTGTTTCTTGATCCTTGTGTATGTTGGAAGGTTTTGTTTCTTTTTATGAAAATGTATCTAGCTGTAAACTTGATTTGTGAACATGTTTGTTAATAGTATGGATTTTATTTCAAGGGAATGCATACTTTAAAAAGCCAACTCTCAAAATTTACCCCTGAAATTATTTTTATTTCAGTAATTTTTGCTAAAAAGTTCCATATAAATAATCCTCTGCTACGGTTAGAGCCCATGTCTACTTTGTGTAGTACTGCTGGTGTTTACATACTCAGATTTGTAAGCTCTGGGCACATGGATTGATTTGAGAGGACAGATGCTTTATTTGCAAATGCTTACCCTCTTGTGTTGCAGTTAACAAGCCTGCTAAGCAGGCTGCATACAGAATAGTGAAAGATTTACAGCCAAACTCTACATGCTCAAGAAAAAGACGGAAACTGTGTGTCTAATCGTCTAATCAGCAATTGTATATTGGTAAAGTACCAAGATATCTTAAAGGCATTCAATGTCCAAGGAAAACACAGGAGGATAACCTAGGAGTCCTTGGGGTTGGACACATGGGAGAGGTGGTCTTAGAACTCCCTCTTCCATGCCCTATTTCTTCTTATCAGTGGGAGTTAAGGTTGAGAAAGATTTCTGAATTCTCTACCAAGAATAAACAAATATTAAATTCCTTTTATGTGAGCACTCCTGGCAAGGCAATGTAGAATATAAGAGCAAAGACGTAACTGATAAGGTAGAAATACTTCCTGACCTTGAGAGACTCAGAAGGTAATCTTACTAGTTTTGAAAAACCACAAAGATTTCACTAAATTGAACTTCAGGTTTTGAACTTAAAGATAAGAAACATGTCACAGAGAAGTTGACCTCATTTTAGGTTTACCTGAAAGGTTCAAGATGCTCTTGCCAGCATTTTCCTGCTACTCCACATGCACACATGCCTTGAATAGCCTGTGTGGTGTTCATCTTAGCACATTTACATGGCCTTCTTCCTTAGTTTGTTGGAGCCCTTATATCAGTAAACAGACTTTAGTTCTCAGATTCAAGGATCAAAAATAAGGGAAGTGTTGAGTCCCAGATAAAGCAGAGGACTATTGCATCTAACTTTGTCTTCCATATTAATGATCTTGTGCGCATGTGTTTGTAGCCACCGTCAATGTTGCAATGTCAGCGGTCACTCCTGAAACGCAGCCTGAAGACCTCACCAAATCTGATTGCATCCCTCCTTTCCTTTAGTAAATGTTGGAGAATGACTGCAGCACCTGATTAAACCAGGCAATGGGTGTGTGTGCCATGGTGGGGATGAGGGATAGGGACAAGTGAGAATCATTTTTATTTTGTTGAAATGTTAAAATAGACAAAGAAATTGAGAGTTACTAGGTCAGGGAGTTTGGGCTGAAAGTTACATGATTAATAGAAACTCCAAATCTTATTTCCTCAGACTGTATACATGCTATAAATCTGATATGGGAGAAAGGATGATGATGCAGCACTAATGGAAATGAAAGCAGATTTGGGGAAACACTTATCTTGCACAGAGTAGTAGGTATGATTATTTTAGCTGCATGCAACAATATGATATATTTCTGCCGTACAAGATTGCTTTACTAAAATTTAAGTCATCTTCTCTTGTCTAATGACCAGAAAATTAGCCTTACAACACCACCACTGGGAGCCATTTTCTACTAAGGAGGGGTTGTGCTAAGTCAGACTCCTGGGCTGACTAAATCCCCTAATAAGTAAACAGAATTTAAGAGATACTACTCATACTTTTGAACGTAAAACCTCAAACAGTGTCATCCAGGGACTACAGATTTCAGGCATTTCTTCTTTAACAGGAAGGAATAAAGATATCTTTAAAAATCAAGACAGAAGGATAAACCCTTGCAGATGTAGAAGTTGTAAAATTTATTTCTCTACTATTCTACTAAATTTTAAAAACTAGCCTGTATATAAAATTTCTCTCAGAGAATCATCTATCAACTTGTTAACATATACATATTATTTATTACATATGTACATATATTATGTGTGCATATATATGCACATATTTTATATATACATACGTATAAAAATATAGATATAATGTATGTATTAACAAAATGAAGTTTAACTCTTGCCCATAAAAGAAATTGGATGTTGAATGAACCTAACAGACTCTAAATATAGGGCCTGGATTGTCAATGCCTGGAGTTACCTTCATAGGAAGATAGACTCCTGAATCAGGAGGAAATGGTGTATACTTAGCCAAGTAGGGTGTACTGAACTTTCTAACAACAACAAAAAACCATAGAAAGTGAAAGTAGATGGGGCTGAGGAATGTGTATGGCTTGAACAGTAGCCTTATGGGGGATAGAGATGCACTGGCTCCTCATGTTTCATTTTGGCTATAGGCCAAAATCTTATGTGTGATCCTTCAATTAACAAAAGGTAATTAACAAAGATTTGCCTGTCCCTCATGGGAGGAAGTCACCCTTCACACACCAGACTTGGTATTCAGCAAGTGCCCGGATATGAAGGAAGGAAATTGCAGTCAAGGACTCAGCCCTTTATTAAGAAGCCACCTGTGATGGTTAATACTGAGTGTCAACTTGATTGGACTGAAGGATGCAAAGTATTGATCCTGGGTGTGTCTGTGAGGGTGTTGCCAAAGGAGATTAACATTTGAGTCAGTGGGCTGGGAAAGGCAGACCCACCCTTAATCTGGGTGGGCATCATCTAATCAGATGCCAGATCAGCTAGAATATAAGCAGGCAGAAAAATGTGAAAAGAGAGACTGGTCTAGCCTCCCAGCCTACCTCTTTCTCCTGTGCTGGATGCTTCCTGCCCTCAAACATCAGACTCCAAGTTCTTCAGTTTTAGAACTTGGACTGGCTCTCCTTGTTCCTCAGCCTGCAGAGGGCCTATTGTGGGACCTTGTGATCATGTAAGTTAATACTTAATAAACTCATATATATATATATATATATATATATATATATATATATATATATAGCATTATATTTCATATGCAATATATATGCTATATATATGCAATATATATGCTATATATATGCAATATATATGCTATATATATAGTATACATATGCTATATATATGCAATATATATATGCTCTCTCTCTATATATATATATATGCAATATATATAGCATTAGCTCTGTCCCTCTAGAGAACCTTGACTAATACACCACCTTATTAGGTGCCTCAGGTAAGGCCCTTCTTTGGCATCTTCACCAAGTTTACCTTATTGGGGCTTTTGGCTGAAGAACTTTGTTCCAGTTTGACTCAGTACCTTTTCACTCCTATGCCTTCCCTGTACCCTTGCCTCTGCCCAGGGGTCCATAAAGAGACAAGATCGTTTTGTTCAGGGATCCCTAGCAGTGGGATGATTCCCCTATGTCTGTGCAGCATCCACCTGACCCTTTCCTGGTTCCCTTCCCCGTGAAGCAATGGAACAGAATAGGGGGGCTAATTTGGCCCGTTGCTAGTACTGTCTCAGTCGGTAAATAAAGGTTTGATTGTCATATTCAGTTTAGTTCATTTTGTAAACTGTACACCTTGATACCTGATTACTTGACAAAATTAAAAAGACTGCAAGCGAAAAATACTTTTCGGTAAGGCAGAGTAACTTTAATCAAACCATATCTACAGAGAAAAGCTATACAAGTTGAAAGAAATACCAAAACAGCTTTTTGAAGGCACCAGAAATCAACCAAGAGGGTGAGGAATTAAGGGATCTTGAGCCCTAAGTGATTGGTGGCACAGTGATGTAAGCCATAAATTCTCTGTCATTTTTTTCCCTCAAGGCAGTTGTCATTTCTAAACACTGGGATAAGAGGATCATCAAAATTGTGGGATCTGAGCTTTCAGCAGTCTCACAGGGCTGGGGACATAAAAACTAGAAATTGGTATTACCAAGGCCAAAATCCTGGAGCAAAGGAAGCCTGTACGAGGAAGCCTGGTGTTCAGCAGCACTTTTCCACAGGGCATTTGCTGCCTCCTAACTTTTGTGAGGCAAGAAGGCCAGAAGGCAGGAGAAAGGGAAAGGTAAGAATCTGAAAAGCTAGGCTGAGCTTTTGGTAATCTCACAGTACTGAGAGAATGAAAATTGGAGCAGACAGCAACAGAGAGTTTAAGCCCTGGTAAAACCCAGATTTTCAGTTGAGAATGTAAAACGTTACCTCCACACAGTGCATACATTCCAGACAGACCTTCACAAAGACTGAGCTGCAGGCTTGAGTCACTTGAAAAGCTAACTGGATTAAGGCCATCTTCCTTTACATTAAATATACAAGGAGAACACAAAACCCTCTCTAGATACAGATAACACCTTAGAGTCTTTGAAAATTCTCGTCCATATAGCCAGAATTCAGCTTGAAACAAGAACACCAGATATACCTGGAGACAGGACCAAGTAACAATCCAATAAGAAGAGAGGGAAAAATAACAAACAAAATATCAAACCAAACAACAATAAAAACCAACCATAAAATAGAAATAGACTCAGATCTGTACTTTTCAGATACAGATTTTAAAACAACTGATACTTAATTTTTTAAGAAAAAAAAATAACAGGATAATAAATTTTACCAAAGAGCTAGATGTACAAAAGATAAGACTGGGCACCGTGGCTCACGCCTGTAATTCCAGCATGTTGGGAGGCCAAGGCGGGTTGATCACCTGAGGTCAGGAGTTTGAGACCACTCTGGCCAATATGGTGAAACTCCGTCTCTACTAAAAATACAAAAATTAGCTGGGCATGGTGGCCCATGCCTGTAATCCCAGCTACTCAGGAGGCTGAGGCAGGAGAATGGCTTGAACTCCAGAAGCGGAGGTTGCAGTGAGCCAAGATCATGCCACTGCACTGTAGCCTGGGAGACAAGAGCGAGATTCCATCTCAATAAATAAATAAGAATAAAAAGGGGAAATTACTGAACAAAAAATACCATAAATTAAATTAAAAAACAAGTAATGGGTGTAATAGTATATTAGACAAATTAGAAGAAAAGATTAATGAATTAGAAAAAGAAGCCAGGACAAAATATTCAGAATGAAGATTTTTTTAAAGGGATGAAAAATACAGAAAAGAGAGTAAGGGCTGATGAACCATACAACAAAAAGCTAAGAAATGCATTTTGGAGTCTTGATGGAGATGAGACAAAGAAATACACAATATTTGAAGAGATATTGACCCCCTCCCCCAAAATTTATATTTGATGATAGACTATGGACTCAAACAGGGTAATCAAAGAAAAATACACATAGGCACACTAGAAAAATACATTAAAAAACTATTAAGGATCAAATATAAAGACATAGTCTTTAAATAAGCCAAAGAGAATATTATTACTCTTAAAAGAGTAGCAAAAAGATAGACAACTCATTTGTGAATGAGACCGGATATAGGAAGAAATAAAATGTTATCCAGAATGGGCTAAAATAATATTGTGGACAGCCTAAAATTCTATATCCTTCAGTAACATCCTTCAAAAATTAAGGCAAAATCAACATTTTCAGGCAAATAAAAGCAGATAAATATTATGTCAACAATCTCACTCTCATCCAAAATGCTAGAGCAAATTCTTCATGCAAAAATATTAGTTGGAAGCACAATAAAATGGGAGGTAATCAAAAGCAATACATGTATAAATATGAGTCAATTTATGTTTGTTTATGCAAATTAATTAAAATGTATTATATAATTAAAATTTACAAATAAAATAAGGGACAACAATAGCACATAAATATGAAGGCGATAAATGAAGTTAAAATTTATGAGGTTCTGGCATTGTCCAGGAGGTACTAAAATTTACATCAGAATCAAAATGTTTACATGATACACATTGTACTGTCTAGGATAACCCTAAACTAATAACAACAACAAAAGTATATTACTCTAGTCAACAGAAACAAGAATATGATAATAATGATAACAATAATAACAATTTTTTTTTTTTTTAGACAGTCTCGCTCTGTCACCCAGGCTGGAATGCAGTGGCGCGATCTCGACTCACTGCAACCTCCGCCTCCCAGGTTCAAGCAATTCTCCTGCCTCAGCCTCCTGAGTAGCTGGGATTACAGGCGGCCACCACCACGCCCAGCCATTTTTTGTATTTTTAGTAGAGACAAGGTTTCACCATGTTGGTCAGGCTGGTCTCGAAACCCTGACCTTGTGATCCACCCACCTCGGCCTCCCAAAGTGCTGGGATTACAGGTGTGAGCCACCATGCCTGGCCAATAATAACAATATTTGATTAATGCAAACAAAGGTGAGAAAAAAGAACAAAATATAAAATAGAGAATAAAAACACATGGGAAATGTAGACATGAATATTATTATGGTAAATATAAACTCAAATATACTACCTATTGCATTAAATGTAGAAAATCTAAATATTAATAATTCAGTTAAAGGATATAGATTTTTAGCAGGATAAAAACGTTAGTGCTTATAAGAGACACAACTGAAATAAAGAACAGAGAACAAAAGGATTAAAAAAGGTATAAACACTAACCAAAAGAAAACTTGGGTAATTATACCAAAATGAGACACTATAAACTTTAACAGAGCAAGTATTACTAGAATTATAGAAAGATATTTCGTAATGAAAAAACCAGACTATAGGAAAGATAATTCTAAATTTGTTGTAATAAAAAATTCAAAATATATAAAACAGATACACTAAAATTTTGAAAAAGAATAAAATCATTTTACTAAGTATTTCTTTCATCATAAAATACTATAAAGAGGGAGAAAAGGCAAATCTTAGACTGGTAAAAGATGTTTTTGGGTGCATACATTTTACCAAAAGCTAATATCTAGATATATAAATAACATTTATAAATCAATACAAAAAGGGCAACATCATTAAAAGGGCAAAATATTCAACAGATACTTCACCAAAGAGATACGTAATGTTCAAAAACCATACAAAATGGATCTCAACAGCATTATTCATGAGGAATATGAAAATTAAAACTACACAAAATACTATCTGCCCGTCAAGACAGTAAAAATTACAAGACTGACAAAACTAAATGTTGATGAAGGTGTGGGACACTGGACCTCTTATACACTGCTGCTGGAAAAGTAAATATTTACAACCATGTTTGTAAACTGTTTGGCAATTTCATTTGAAGTAAAACATATACCTGCCTTATGAACCAGCATGTGTACTCCCAGGCATATTTCCAGAAAATATGAAAGCCTGTTCTCACTGAAAGACAATTACAAGAATGTTCACAGAAGATCAAAACTGAAAATAAAAAAAACCCAATCTGAATATCCACCAGAGAATGAATAGTACATTTTGGTTTATTCATACAATGAAATACTAAAAAGCACTTAAATTGGGCAGTCCAGAGCTACATGAAAGCAACATGTATGCATCTCAAAGCCCTGAAAGAAGCTAGATGAAAAAATGTGTGTATTACATGATTTTCTGTCTATGACGATCAAGAATTAGAAAATTATTCTAAGTGGTTGGGCACAGTGGCTTACACCTGTAATCCCAGCACTTTGGGAGGCTGAGGTGGGCAGATCATGAGGTCAGGAGTTCGAGACCATCCTGACCAACATGGAGAAACCCTGTCTCTACTAAAAATACAAAATTAGTCAGGTGTGATGGTGTGCTCCTGTAGTCCCAGCTACTCAGAAGGCTGAGGCAGGAGAATCGCTTGAACCCGGGAGATGGAGGTTGCAGTGAGCAGAGATCATGCGACTGCACTCCAGCCTGGCGACAGAGCAAAACTCAGAAAGGGAGGGAGGGAGGGAGGAAGGAAGGAAGGAAGGAAGGAAGGAAGGAAATTGTTGTAAGTAACAGAAGTCACAAGATTTGGTGGGAGCTTGAATATTGCCTGGAAAGGAGTATAAAGGAGCAAAGTTGGGTGCTGAAGATGCCTATATCATCCATCTCTTTAGTAGTTACACAAGTATGTGTACTTCATGATATACATACTTGTGAAGTACACAAGATGTTGTGCACTTCATGATATACCTCAATTAAAATGTACACAGAAAAAATAAGCAGCAAACACAAAACCAAATATTTAAACCAGTTAATTTAAACCATGTTTAGAGTTTGCTTCCAATACCATGTATACATTGATCTTCTTGACTGGAAATCCCTGCAAATTCAAACCATACCCAACTATCAAGCCTAGTTTTCCATGTAGGCTCCTTCAGTCCTTAGATCATTGCATTTTTGTTCTCTCCTTTAAATTTCTTTAATATATATTGTGACATTCATTCACGTCAACTTTTACCACACACCATTCTATAAGTTGCAGAGTAGCAACAAAATAACCCAAAAAATGAATTTTTATTATATTAGTGGGGCAGAAGATCAATAACTTCCATTTATGTCCAGTGGTAAAATTCAAAAATGACAACCTGGGTACTGCACTGAACCTAGCAACTGTAAATGGCCCCACACACCTGTATTCTGCCTGTATGCCTAGGCTGAAAGATTCATCTCTGGATTTTTGCTTTGATGATAGAAAACATAAACATAAAAAACATACACACTTTACATTTAAATGTGATATGTATTTCTAGTTCTCAAGAAATAGAATTATCAATGTACCTTTAGAAAAGTTTATTTCTTTATATTTGAAAAACATTAAATAAAACCAAAATATGTAAATAGATTTTGATTCTAACACAGATGAAATTTTATATTCTGAGTCACAAGGTCTTTTCATCTCCTTGATCCACATCTCCATGTCAAAAAAGCAGCATTTATTATGCAAATATGAAGCCACAAGGTATTTGCACTTATCAAAATGTGTCTTAGAGAAAATAAGAAGGGTGGGAAAGAAGCATAAGGATCCTTTATTCCACGTGGTCTCTTGGATTGAGTTTGCATATGAAGGACAGGAGTTGATTGGATGGCTTCAAGAGAGGTTTTGTTAGCTCTAGGCATCAAACCATCTGCCCTCTGCAGAATACAGCAGAACACCATTCTTCTCATGTTTACCTGGACTCTGCTTCTGCTCGAATATGGAAGATTAGTAGCAACAATGAACAATTGACTTTTCTCATGTATTATATAGAATTATTTATATTACATAGCAGTGCTAGTGGCATCTTTACTTATTTGTACCTGGCTGTCATATTATACTGTCTTATCTGTTCCTACAAAATCTAATACGTATATACTCAAAATAATCATTTCGCTGTTTATCACTGCATTAGTCAGCTCAGGCTGTTGTCACAAAATAGCATAGACTTGGTGGCTTAAACCACAGAAATTTGTTTTTTAATGTGTTCTGGACAATGGAAGTCTGAGATCAGGGTGCCAGCATGGTTGGGTTCTGGAGAGGGCTCTTTCTTGGCTTGCAGACAGATAACTTTTTGCTGTGTCTTCATGTGGCCTTTGATCAGTGCATGTAGGTGGCTGGAGAGATAGATATTGCTCTCTTCTTCTTACAAGGCCACCAATTCTATCAGATTAAGACCCTATCCTTATGACCTCATTAACCTTAATTACCTCCTAAAAGCTTAAATACAGTCATATTTGAGGTTAGGGTTTCAGCATAAAAATTTGGGGGAACACTATTTGATCCATAGTGGTCACCTACCTCATATTTAACCCCTGACTGCATCTTACCTTTCTTTGCTACAAAATACATTTTCACTACTTATTAAAGAAAATGACAATGGAATTGCCAGGTCCTAAGGGAAGGATGACTTTGAGTACAGAGATACTAGAGGTAGAGTGACAGCTATGAAGCTACATCAGTGATAGGTTAGGTACTGATTTAGACTAAGATCATGATTTAGACTAGGATAGATGCAGGCCAAAGAAAAAAAAATTACAAGTCAGAGAGATTTTACACAAAAAAACTATATTTGACTTCATGAGTGTAAAGCAAAAAAATGTGTAGACTTCAGCCCTGACCTGAAACATATGATGGAATTTAGTTTTTTACAAAAATCTCACAAGTCATTGGAATCAATTCTGAAAGTTTTTCAAAACATTTCTGTAACTTATCGATTCACATTTCATAATTTCTTAGGATAGATTCCAGGAATCTGTATGAAAAGCCACTGGACAATTTGGATAATAATCCAAATTTGGAAAGCACTGTTCAAATTAACAATGACTAAAGAATTTCCCATAGTTTAATATTTACTAAAATATATTCAGCAACAGTTGAATGGAAGGAAATAAATTTGAATTTCCAGTTAAAAAATACATTCTAATATTTGATAGTGCAGTAAGGAAATCAGAGTTAGCAATAATTTATTGTGTATTTCAAATAGCTAGAAGAGAAGAATTATAATGCTCTAATACAAAAAAAAGGTAAATGTTTAAGGTTATAGATTTCCCAATTACCCTGATTTGTTGATTACACACTGTATACAGGTATCAAAATATCATATGTACCACTAAAATATGTACAAGTATTATATATCGATTAAAAATAAAAATAAGGTGAACATGAACATAAATAGTTCTAGTCATTCCTAGATATTTTTGGATATTCTTCAGTTTCTAAGAATCTCATTTTAAGAGAAATTTTCAGATATCTTAATTTTTTCTGGTAGAACCTATTTTTCAACAGTATAAGCAAAACATCTTACAGGAATTTATATCTTTGTGCTTTATTTCCACTTGTAAAAGCAGCTTTATAAATGCTATTTAATTTGCTACTCACAGCCTGGAAATTAATAGCCAAAGTCTTTGAGCATTTATGCATAACCACGTACTATGCTGAACACTTTGAATATATCACCACATTGAATCCTTCCAACGACCCAATAAATAGATACAATCAATGTCTCGCTATTAGACCAGTAGGTTCAACCCCTGAGGCTTACAGAAACCAACAAATTGTCCAAGTTGACAAAATTGATAAGTAGTGAAGTCAAGTCTCAAGCACACAGAATTGGGCCATCAACTGAGGCTTTTACCATTATATCAGTTATATATCCCACTTTAATTAAAGACACAGTCAACATGTGTCACTTATGTTGCAGTTTGAGGACAATGGGAGCAATAAGCTAAAGCCATTGACATATATTTATAGAAAACCAGTGTACTTTTCACACTTCCATATTTTAAAATATGTAGTTCTTTCTCCCCAAAATATCTATTTTGGTAAGGTGGATGTGATGAAACCCAAATCATGCTTCAGATAGCCATCAAAACAGGGTAGAGTGTTCATGCCTTTCTAGAATGAAGATGATTTACTGGGTGTCCATTAATAGCTTCCTCCAAGAGAGTGAAGAATCTACAATTGCCCCAGTATGTTCCAAATTTGGGGACTGGAGAGATGAGGCTGTCAGTCAATGTAATAAGGGCCTTGTTCTGCAAATGCCCCTGAAGTTAACTAAAGTCTAGATGACAGCACCATTACTGAGGGCTCTGAGACCTCAACAGTCTATACTTGCATGAGTTCTCTGGCATTATACAACATAACTACTCATAGGCCTCCTACCCCTAGTCTTTCTCTTCCAAAAGCTTTGGACTTGGTTTAGCTAAGCCTACTATTTTGTTCATAGGGGAAATAAAGAGTTCTTTGTATTGTTATTAGAGACAAAAAAAAAAAAAAAACAAAAAGAGAGAAAGCTGGACATTAGCCTTGGCCCCAGAGTCTGTCTGTACTCTAATGCAAGTTCTTGTTAATAGGCACTTGTGATTTTTTGGTTTTTCCCATATCCTATGTAGAAATAATTCTTCTTTCATACAAATACCTATTAAAAAGCAGGATACACAGAGTGTCACCTAGTCACCAAGAAATGTATTTGTGAGGCCCTTGAACTATAATAATAAATAACATTTATCAGATTATTTGCCAGGCACTGCTTCTTGTAGGCATTTTTCTTGTACTATGTTATTTTACTCTCATTACAACCCAACAAGATTAACATTACTTGTAACTCCACTGCACAGATACAGAAACAGGCCCAGAGTTATTATAATAGTTAAGTAATAAAGCCATGATTAAAACCAGGAAATGTGTTACTAGAACCGGTCTTCTTAACCACTCACCTATACTTATCCTCTCCAGACTCTGGGCTGTGTTTCAACTCACTTTAGCAGGCTGCTAACATCAAATGTTTAAATATATTGAGCTACCTCTGAAAGGGGTGTTCCCTGCCAAATACTGTCTGTAAGCAGTTTTCAGACTACCCTAAAGTGAAGTAGATTAATACAGGTAAGGATGTGAGAGAGATATAATCAATCTCTATCAACTTCACATATGAACCCCTAATAGATGAGAAAACTTGATGTTACTCTGTAGAACATCTGTGCTCTTTGTATATCCTTAAAATGCCCTTTCATTATTAATGCTCTGATGTGCCTCCACTTGTTTTCCCAATTCCATCAAATAGCTAATCACTATGGTTTTAACTTATTTTAAACAATTTAAAGGCAACGATGTTCTGGAAAAAAAAAAAAAAAAACACATAGAGTCAAGTCAATAAAAGCAATAGAACAAAATCACCATTCCCCAAACAATGCTCTAGGGGACTACTTCAGTTTCTATTTTATTGGAAACAATGATCAAGTGAAAATCATTCCTTAATACACTGAAAGTCTACCTATGTGTGTGCAATTTCCAATTCTATCTGGCTCTGTTCCTTAAAACATGGGTGCTTATGAATGAAGACAAAGCCCTCAAGGCTAGTAAAAGGCACAGCAAATAAACTGCTTTTTCTATCATTTCCACCTTTAGGAGAAGACTAAGTCCCATATATAGCAGGACACAGTCAAATGGGATATTATTTTCTTAAATAAATCATAGTTCTAGTCATTCCTAGATATTTTCAGAAATTAAATGTGTGGTGTGATAAAATAAACATATAACTCTATTCTAAATTTCTTTACTTTATTGAGAACTCTTAATGGGTTAGGATCTAAATTTGTTTGCTTGAGACAGGGTCTTGCTCTGTTGCCGAATCTGGAGTGCAGTGGTGTGATCATGGCTCACTGCAGCCTCGACCACTGGGATCAAGTGATCCTCCCACCTCAGCCTCCTGGGTAACTGGGACTACAGGCTTGTGCTACCATGCCATGCTAATCTTTTGTATTTGTAGAGACAGAGTTTCGCCATGTTGCCCAGACTGGTCTTGAACTCCTGGGCTCAAGTGATCTGCCCTCCTCAGCCTCCCAAAGTGCTGCGATTACAGGCATGAGCCACCAGGCCTGCCCATGTATTTTGTATATTATCTAAACAATGGCTCATAGTAGATGGTCAACACATTCTTTTAATGAAGGAATTGAACTTTCTTAGTCTCCATATGCTTTCCTACAGTATTATCTGGTAAAGATGCATTGAACACTTATTTTACGCCAGGCACTGATATCACATTTATTATTAAGTCCCTTATGTGCTACTCATAAAAGAGTTAATGATACAACTTTAAAAAATACATTTTATTGTGTATATTTAGTGTATATTTAAGGTATACAACATGATCTTATAATATACACATAATAAATATGTAATATATAATAAAATAGTTACTATAGTAAAACAAATTCACATATACATCATCTCCCATAATTACCCATTTCCCTATCCCATGGCAAGAGCAGCTGCAATCTATTCATTAATCAAAAATTCTGAATACAATATACTATTACGGGCATACCTTGGAGATATTGTGGATTTGGTTCCATACCACCCACAATAAAGCAAATATTGAAATAAAGCTAGTCACACTATTTTTTTTTTTTTGGTTTCTCAGTGAATATAAAAGTTGTTTTCATAATATTGTAATCTATTAAGTGTGCATTAGCATTATGTCTACAAAAACAATATACATATTTTAACTAAAAAATGCTTTATTGTTAATGATCATCTGAACTTTCAATGAATTGTAATTTTTCCTTATGGAGAGAGTTGCCTCGATGTTGATAGCTGCTGACTGATCTGGGTGGTGATTGATGAAAGCTGGGGTGACTGTGGCAATTTCTTAAAATAAGACAATGAAGTTTGCTGCCTCTATTCATTGGTCTTTTCATAAGAGATTTCTCTGTAGCATGTGATGCTGTTTGTTGACATTTTATCCACAGTAGGACTTTTTTCAAAATTGGAGTCAATTCTCACAAAACCTGCTGCTACTTTACGAACTAAGTTGTTGTAACATGCTAAATCCTTTGTTGTCACTTTGACAATGTTTACATAATCTTTACCAGGAGTAGATTCCATCTCAAGAAACCACTTTCTTTGGTCATTCATAAAAAGCAACTCGTCATCCATTAAAGTTTTATCATGAGATTGCAGCAATTTAGTCAGGTCTTCAGGCTCCACTTCTAATTCTATATCTCTTGCTATTTCCACCACATCTGCAGTTACTTCCTCCACTGAAGTCTTAAACTCCTCAAAGTCATCCACAAGGATTGGAATTAACTTATTTTAAACTCCTATTAATGTTGATATTTTGACCTCTGTCCATAAGTCATGAATGTTTTTAATAGCATCTAGAATAATGAGTCCTTTGCAGCAAGTTTTCAAATTATTTTGACAAGATCCATCAGAGGAATCACTACCTATGGCAGCCACAGCCTTATGAAATGTATTTCTTAAATAAGACTTGAAAGTTGAAACTACTCCTTGATCCCTGGGCTACAGGAGGGATGTTGTGTTAGAAGGCATGAAAACAACATTAACTTCCTTGTAGATCTCCATTAGAGCTCTTGGGTTACTAGATGTATTGTCAATGAGCAATAATATTTTGAAAGCATCTCTTTTTTTTTCCCCCCTCCTCTGAGCAGTAGGTCTCAAAAGTATGCTTAAAATATTCACAAAACCATGCTGCAAACAGACGCACTGTCATCCAGGCTATGTTGTCACATTTATAGAGTACAGGCAGAGTAGATTTAGCATAATTCTTTGGGGCCCTAGGATTTTTGGAGTGGTAAATGAGCACTGGCATCAACTTAAAGTCACCAGCTGCATTAGTCCCTACAAAAAGAGTTAGTCTGTCCCTTGAAACTTTGAAGCCGGGCATTGACTTCTCCTCTCTAGCTATGAAAGTCCTAGATGGCATCTTTCTTCAATATACAGCTATTCAGTCTCCATTGAAAATCTGTTGTTTAGTGTAGCCACCTGAATTGATTACATTAGCTGGATCTTCCGGATAACTTGCTGTAGCTTTTACTTGAGCATGTGCTTTTTCGCCTTGCATTTTTATGTTGTAGAGATGGTTTCTTTCCTTAGCCATTATGAACCAACCTCTGCTAACTTTACACTTTTCTTCTGCAGTTTCCTCACCTCTCTCAGTCTTCATAGAACTGAAGAGAGTTAGAGCCTTGCTCTGGATTAGATTCTGGCTTAAAAAAATGTTGTGCCTACCAGAGAGTGGAGGTTGTAAGAAGGAAGAGGATCAGTAAAAAATAATGGGTACTAGGCTTAATACCTGGGTGATTAAATAATCTGTACAACAAACACCCCCCTAAGACACGAGTTTACCTATATAACAAATTTGCACATGTACCACTGAACTTAAAAGTTAAAAAAAGAGTTTTTTAAAATCCTGATAAAATAAAGACTTTTCAAACATACAAAACAAAACATACAAAAACAAAGAAATCATCAACAGCAGACTCTCATGAAAAAAAGATGTTGTGGCTGGTTTGATCTTCTATTCAGACCACTAAAACTTTCTCCGTATCAGCAATGAGATTGTTCCACTCTCTTATGTGTGCTCACTAAGGTAGCACTTTTAATTTTCTCTGAGAACTTTTTCTTTGCATTCACGACTTGGCTAACTGTGTGGTATAAGAGGCCTGAAGTTTTGGTCTGTCTCAAGCTTTCAACGTGCCTTCTTCACTAAGCTTAATCATTTTCTAGTTTTTGACTTAAACTGAAAGACATGTGATTCTCTCCTTTTACTTGAACACTTAGAGGCCATTGTAATGTTAACGGGCCTAATTTCAATATTGTTTTATCTCAAGATATAGGGAAGTCCCAGGAGAGGGAGAGAAATGAGGGAACAGCCAGTTGGTAGAGAAGTCAGAACATACGCAACATTTACCAATTACGTTTGCTGTCATATGTGGGCAAGGTATATTGTGCCCCAAAACAATCTGTAACCTCAAAGATCACTGATCACAGATCATCATAACAGATACACAAATAATAAAATGGTTTGAATTATTGTGAGAATTACCAAAATGAGACAGAGAGAACACAGTGACCACATGCTGTTGAAAAAATGGTGCCAATAGACTCGCATGATGCAGAGTTGCAACAAATTTCCCACTTGCAAAAAAAAAAAGGGAATATCTGTGAAGTGCAGTAAAATGAGTTATGCCTTTATTAACTATAGTCCTCATGCAATATGTTTCTTTCTGCAGCTGGCTTATTTTACTTAGCATAATGTCTTCCAGGTTCATCCATGTGTGCAAATGGCACGATCTCCTGCTTTTTAAAAGGCTAAATAATATTCCATTGCATATATATATATTACATTCTTTATCCATTTTGCCATCAATGGACACTTAGATTGTTTCCCTGCCTTGGCTATTGTGAATTATGCTGCATTAAACATTAGAGTACATGTATTTTTACAAGGTGATGGTTTTATTTCTTTTGTTATATACTCAAGAGAGGGATTGCGGAGTCACATGGAAATTTAATTGTTAACTTCTTTAGGAACCTCTATACTATTTTTCACAATGGTTGCACCAAACTACATTCCCACCAACGGTGCACAAATGTTTCCTTTCTTCCTCACCCTTACCAACACTTGCTCTCTCTTGTCTTTTTTGGTAATAGCCATCATAATGGATATGTGGTGATATTTCACGGTGGTGTTGATGTGCATTTCCCTAATGAGTAGTAATTTTGAGCATTTTTAAAATATATACCTATTGGCCATTTTTATGTCTTCTTTAAAGTAATGTTTATTCAGGTCCTTTGCCGATTTTTAAAATTGGGTTATATGTTTTCTTACTATTGAGTTGTATGCATTCTTTATAAATTTGTATATTAACACCTCATCAGATGTATAGTTTACAAATATTTTTCCCCAATCTGAAGGTTGTTCTTTTTATTTTGTTGAGTGTCTCCTTCGGTGTGAAAAAGCTTTTTAGTTTGATGTTGTCTCATTTTTTTTTTTGACATGCCTTTTAAATGTTCAGTGAGATGTGGGTGTCTAGAACTAGAAAATTTTCAGAAAGCCTATTTGGGCAGCACAAATAGGTAAGGAAAAAGCGTAGTATGTCTTGGAGATAAAGGAATGTATACAGAGAGACTAGGATTGAGTATCCAATGTAAACATCTCAAAACCACATGTTCGGAGTATTCAGGGGCTAAGGAAGTAAGAATACATGGTGGGTAAAAGCACAGGCTATAGGATTTAAAGATGGCACAGCCAAAACTAAGCAGGCTGTGGTATGTTGGGCAAAGTACAAAATGCCTCTCAGCCACAGTTTCCTTATATGAAAGTGGAGATAATAATATCTTTCTCAAAGAGATGCTGGGAAGACTAACCGAGATAATGCATAAAGATGTTAGCACATTTGCTAGCTCACCTTAGCAGCCCCTATTAGTTGAATCATTATAATTTCCAAATTCTGCATAGCAGCTCTGTTCTGTCAAGAACCTGACATTCTTTTTAATGTAAAAGAATGATGATGACATTAATGATTAAGGTGAAGCAGAATTATAATTCAGAGGCCTTTTTTTTTTTTAAACATTACTGCTGAACACTTTTGTTTACATTTTGGTTCTAAAGCTATGGCACCATATTCAAAATGTGTCTTCTTTTCTACAGTACCTCCCAAACAAGGAAGGCATCCAGATTAAACCATCCCCAAGTCCATGTGTAGATAAGGGAGGTAGTATTGTGTGTAGCAGAAGATCTGAATTCAGATCTTGGCTCTGTCATTTATTAGTTCCCTGCACTTGGGTTACTCTTCCAAATGCCCTGCACTTCAGCTTCCTCATCTGCAAATTGTGGATTAAAGCAGCCCTCATTGAGAATTATCATGATGATGAGATAATGTATAAAAATCACATCATGATTCCTGTCTTGTAGGTCTTTAATATACAGACAGTGTGACTGCTGCTATAGGGCTGTCACTGATACTCTGGTTCTCTTTCCATCTGGACACACAGAGTACTGTAATTCCCCACCCAGGTGACTCATTACAGTGAATGAAATGGAAGCGGAAGTGCCCTGTTATTTCTAGATAGAAGCTTCAAGGGCATGGATGTGCTTAATCCTGCTGTCTTTCATCCTCTGCCACAGTGACCAGCACATCATTAAAAGAAGACCATGGTTTATCAGCCTCGAATCAGAACAGAATGATGTGGAACAGTGCTCCCAGCTGACTCTCAAGAAGTGGGTCTTTGTTTTAATCCACTGAGATTTGAGCTTTCTTTGTTACTGCAGCCTAAACCAACTTATTCTTTCTGATATTATTATTATTATTGTTAATAGGAACCTCATTGCTTCTGAGTTCTCTCAAAAAAATGAAAATAGAGTTGGTACCTGTTTGATGAGCTAACAGTCTTTTGAGCTGCTAGTTAATAATAATAATAATGGTTAAGTATCAGCTTTTGAAGACTTATTCTATCATAAAGTCTGCTCTACACAATTTCCTTATGTAATCAGATTTCATCCTCACTATGAGTCTATGATGTAAGTACAATTGCCCACTTTGCACAAGAGGATTTTGAGGCTGAAACTGGAGTTGAATCTTGACCCACTCATCTTAATTGTATTGTCTGGACCAAGTTACTTAAATTTTTGATCCTATTACACAGCATTTCCTTTCTCTGTCTAAAAGGAAACCTAGCAGTACGGCATAATTTAAATATGAGAAGGTCAAAGAAAATTAAAAACGACAAAACTATTTGGAAATTTGTTTCTCTCTTATTGTTCATAAAATTGGAATAGATTCCTTTGGTTTTGTTTTAGTCATTTTCTGACTTTTATTTTCCTTTTCACTTCTCTTTTTTTTTTTTTTAAACTAGCTCCTTTTTTGTCAGGGACAACAAACTAACTCTTGATTTGGGCCTGTAGTGGCTAAAGTAGTTAGGTGCTCACAGTAGAAGATGATTCACTTTGATTTTCTCTTATCTGCCTCTTACTATCCATGCTTTTCTTTTGTTAAGGGTCTTTTTCTTTTCTTTCTCTCTCTTTTTTTTTTGGAGATGAAGTCTTGCTCTGTGGCCCAGGCTGGAGTGCAGTGGCACAATCTCGGCTCACTGTAACCTCTGCCTCCCAGGTTCAGGTGATTCTCCTGCTTCAGCCTCCTGAGTAGCTGGGATTACAGATGCGTCTGCCACCATGCCGGAATAATTTTTGAATTTTCGGTAGAGACAGGGTTTCACCATGTTGGCCGGGCTGGTCTCAAACTCCTGACCTCAAGTGATCTGCCCGCCTTGGTCTCCCAAAGTGGTGGGATTACAGACATGAGCCACCATGCCTGGCCTGTTAAAGGTCTTTTCTAACTAAAGGGTGGTAACTTAACAGAAATAATGGCAAGACTTCCTTCTATCCTACTTACCTCTATGGAGATGTAAGCAGCTAAAAACAAAGAAGTACAGTTTTCATTTTCTGGACTGGTTGTGTACTATTCTCAACTTCCTACTTGTAAAGATGTACATCCTTACCAAGCATGGACCATACTGTGCCCTCGATATCGATGAATGGGGCTCACGGATGTTCAAAGGGCATGGAGAAAACATCATTGTCCCCAGAGGGAGGAGTAGTCACAGGGAAGAGAAACTCTGGTGGAGAACTCCAGACTCTGTAATTCAGGAATTAAAACCAGACTCTGGGCCAGGTGTGGTGCCTCACGCCTGTAATCCCAGCACTTTGGGAGGCTGAGGCGGGCGGATCATGAGGTCAGGAGATGGAGACCATCCTGGCTACCACGGTGAAACCCCGTCTCTACTAAAAACACAAAAAAAATTAGCCGGGCGTGGTGGCAGGTGCCTGTAGTCCCAGCTCTTTGGGAGGCTGAGGCAGGAGAGCGGCCTGAACATGGGAGGCGGAGCTTGCAGTGAGCGGAGATTGTGCCACTGAACTCCAGCCTGGGCAACAGAGCAAGACTCCGTTTCAAAAAAAACAGACTCTGGGAGGTGAGCCAGTTTTGACCAACAGTTTAATTTGTTCAAGTTTAATATGTTGTGTTCTCTGGCCTGGCCAGGGGCATCTCCAGGCACTATCAGGGCATCATGTTTATTACAAGCCTATCTTGACCCATCTTCACCAAGACCATCTCTTTCTCTTTCACATTTTCGGTCTTTTCTCTGCAATTGTCCTTTTCCCCAGGCTTAAAAATAGACCTTAGATTCTCATACCCTAAAAACAAACAAACAAAAAAAAAATAGGGAAAAGACATATTTAGTTGGTGGTGAAAGTATCAGAAAGGAATAGTGTAACTAGCCTGACTTGAGAGAAATATTTAGTAATATCTGTTGTTAAACAAAATAAACCGGATTATGTACGAATGGTCTGGTTTACTGCTGAACTTAAGATATAAAAATATACCTACTTTAATCTTTCTCAGATAACCTCTGCAATGCAGAAACACTTGAATAAAAAACTGTTCCTATGGTTAGGAGGAGGCAAGGAATATGTCCACATTAGACACACACATTTATCTGTCAACCATGTGCAGATACCTCAAAAATAACTTAACATGAACATCCAAAATCTCTCTGAGAGAAGTGAGGTGAATTTGGTTTTGATGCATCCTTTTCTTTTTCTCTCGAGAAGAGAGAAAGTTGCCTTTTACCTGAAAGAAAACCAGGTTGTTTTCTGAACGGCTGTTCTCTGGAAGCGGAGCTCAGCAGAAGTACGTCAGCAAAGCCACACTGATTGTCCGCCTGCTTCTTTTTTAAGGGTCGTAACCCTGATCTTCCTCACTCACCAACTCATTCTACTCGGAAAAGCAGAGGAGTCTAAAGCCTTGGAAACCCAAGAGGGTGACACCAGGAGCCAGTCAAATGTATGGCTCATGAGGACTCTGCAATGCTCACTAGGCCTGCTTTGTTTTTTCCTTAAGATAAAGTCAACAGATCTGCCACAGAATGTTTACCAGGGAGAGAATATTCTCTGGATAAAAACTGTACAATGCTATTACAGTTATTGTAGTGAGGCTATATCAAAAAATAAATATCCTTTCTTCTCCAAATTTCTGAATAAGCAAAAATGGAGAGGACCTTAGAATTTAAGCTTTGACATCTCTAGGGGATTCTACTGCATAACTACATTTAGGAACCAGTGGTTTAATCCAACCTTCTAAAATAATCTTGGATTTCCTTAACCATATCCGTAAAACTGGTCACTTAGACACTGTTTAAATTTCCTGTAATAGGACGTAGAATATATTTTGATCTGGTACATTTTATTTTTGATAGATACCCTTGACAAAAGATCTCCTTTCCATGATTTAATCATACTTTTGAGGTGTTACCTTATGATTTTTACACTTGGATGTGTTTTGGGAAAGATGAATCCTCAAATGTATTTCAGGAAGAAAACTTCGAAGTTTCCATCTGAAACTCCGGAAGGATGCAGTAGCATTAACTTAAGGTGAGGCCAATGCAGAAAAGGCAGCTCTAAAGGCCCCATAGTGTTGAAATAATTTCACAGACAGCTAGACTTTCCTGTGTCTCTAAGAAAGTTCCAGCCAAAGGCTAGCTAAGAGAGAGATGATGTATCCTGAGGGGTGTATACAAGAGCTGTAAAGCTCTGTGGATCATAAAACAGAGCATCCAATGGAGATACAAACATTTTATTGGACATACCCATTCAGTGACCAAAGCAGTTAATTCTCAGCAAATGCCTACCTTTAACAGAGGATGAAATACATGTCTTTTCCCCCGCCTTTCAAAAAAACCAAGATTGTGGACAAACCACACAAAATGTAGTCGTGAACGTAAGGAAAAGAAGGGAGATGGGAAAAATGCTGATTTCACCAAACTAAAGTTGAAATAACTGAGAAGACAGTGAAGCACCTGGATTTACCCAGAAGTGACAAAAATTATACATTCTGACATCAAATTCACATGTTATGACATCAAGTAGAAGTTCCATACAGAGGCTGAGTTTCAGAAAGCTAAAACAATGAAGATATTAATTATATTTTCTTTTTGTTTGTTTGTACATCTAAATATATATGGATCTTGAAAAAATGTTACAGCTGCTACATATTAAGTTGAACTCCCTTAAATTTCTCTTTACTTATATTTATTGTACCTTCTGGAGTCACTAAAAATATCATTTTCCACATGACAGCTCCTATAGAACTTAAAGAAAACTTATCCTTCCTCTGAGTCATATCTTTTCCAGGATGAAGATGGTCACAATAATATGGCTTATAATTCTATTTCTTATTTCCTAAAGCTTTCAGTATCTCAGTTTCTATTCTGTCTATAATGGTTTTAGACAATCCTCATAGAAAAGTGGATTATGAACATTTCGTCAGGGGTTTAAAAACAGTAAGGCCTTAGTCCCCACCTCCAAGACTTTTTAATTCAGCTGGTCTGGAGTGATGCCCAGATTGGAGTGGTGTTTACAATGTTAGATTTGATAGTGATATGAAAATTCTTAGAGATTAAAACTCAGAATTGAACTTAATGAAAAAGATGTGGGCAGGGTAGGCCTACATGGTTATTTCCCTTTCCCTGGATATCACTTGTTCATCAAGGCTGCTGAATAGATACACTTTCACTTGGCAGCCACCTATCTGATTATATCACCCAGTCACCCAGCCTATGCCTCCTTTTCTGCTGATGAAGTTATTCGTTCACTTAAACCAGTATTCATTAAGAGTAATCTTGGTATCCACAGTGTTTCACACACTGTTGCTGTTAGTGCCTTACACAAAGATGATATAGGTATAAACTATGTTATGGAGGAATTTATGGTCTGGCAAACCATACTGATAGATAACTTCAGTGCAATGAGGCAAGTGCTATGATATAAAAAACTATTCCAGGGATGTTGTAGAAGCACAAAAAAGGGGGGCATTTACCACATTTGGGCATGGAGACAATGTAGGGATGTTGAATAAACAGCATGAGTCAAAGCAGGAGGAGCATGTGAAGCTAAAAAATCCTGGGCTGCAGGCCGAGAAGCATAAACCAGGTGCAAATCATTTCTGGAACAGCTGATCATCAAAGTACCATGCCTTCAATACAAGAAATAAACCCTGGCCCCAGGGTAATTTAACTAAGTGTAACAATCTCAAGTTCCTGGTCTATGTAGCAGAACATTATCACTTGTGTCTTTTAGATCAGTGTTCCACAAACTGTAATAATGCACATACTAATGCCCAAATGTGGTAAATGCCCCCTTTTTCGTGCTTCTCCAACATCCCTGGAACAGTTTTTTATATCATAGCACTTACCTCATTGTACTGAAGTTATCTCTCAGTATGGCTTGCCAGACCATAATAAATTCCTCCATAACATGGTTTATACCTATATAATCTTTGGTTTATACCTATATCATCTTGAGATTTTGGTAAAATGCAAATTCTGATTCCACAGGTCTGGAATGAAGTCTGGGACTCTATATTTACAACAACCTCCCTCATGGTACTAATATTGCTGATCCCAGAGCACATATTAAATATCAGAGTACTACAGAAACACCACGAGCGAAAGAAAGGCTTCATGTTCTGAATCTGGGTAGCAAAAAGGTAACTACATCTCAGAAGATAAATTAACAGAGCACAGAGTTGGAAGTTCCCTGCTTCAATCCCTCTCCTACCTCTTCAGCACAGTAAGGAAGGAAATTTGCATGAATTGATCTTAATTTGCTGCCAAATCATCATCAACACAAATTATTAGAGAAATTCAGCACATAAAAAGATGCTCATTCGTTTGGTAATGGAGCCTAAGTAGGCATCTATGCTACCCATCCATCACTTCCTTCTCTTGTCATCCTCTCTAAGGTACATTTTAACCAATTTTTCTCCTATTTCACACGAGTCCATTTCTATGAGGGAAGCTACAAATAGGAAGTGTAAATATGGATCTGGTATGTGATTTAAAAAGACTGCCTGCCAGTCCTACTCATTCAGCTCCTATTCTCTCTGGTTAATTTATCCTACATGGGGATTCTTGTGCATGTCAGGGAATATTGGAATGGATTGAAACAAAGCCTTCCATTCCAATTTCACTGCAGATTTCAAGTACCAGTGTGAGATGGCTTGGGTAAAATGCTCCCAGAAGTCTGCATCAGTTCACATTGTGAAACCTACTCAATTTCATATATATCAAATGTTTAGCAACATGTCACTGTTTGAAACTCGACTGCTTCTATGGTCTCATAGGCTCGTTGTGGTGCTCTGTTCCTTTTTCCACAGATAGTAATATTATTCCTATTATTCTGCTTGTCAGCCAGACTTGTGCTGTATCATAGATAGAATTTTACTAAAACTTACTTATGTGACCTATGTTCTAAGCATAATGAGATTAGTGCTTTATTAGGTAGTGAGCCCCAGAAGCACTGATGAAATGTCTTAGAAGTGTGGAGGTCTGGGCCGTATCCTAGATCTGTTGCATCGGAGTCTCTTGCCAATTAAAAAAAATCCCACAGTTGATTCCATGGCAGACTCATATTTGAGAACCCCTGGATTAGACATAATAAGATTTTCTAAGAATATGTGTTTTAGATACTGAAATTGAAGGCAGAGGATTTTCTTTTCTCAAGAGCTATAAGACCAAAGTAGATATTGGAAGACATTTTATAAGCAGTCTAGGACTGAGAGCTTAAGGTCAGGATTGGCATTCTGCAGATACTTTACCCTGCTAGAACACATTCAAAGCAAAAGTGATAAAATCTTATAGCACATTAATATACAGAAGCTATCCAATCTTCTACCTGCAGGACATAGAAAATGGTGATAAGCAAATAAAGACCATTCCTGAGTGACCAAACTAAAGTTCCTTTACAATGGCCTTCCAGGTTTTTTGTGCTGAGTAAATGATTGATGTGGATAAAAATCTCTTACACAGGGCAAAACATATAGCTGGTGCACACTAAATGTTATTTCCCTTCCACATATTTAAAGGCAAAAAAATAAAATGCAAGTGAAACTCAAACTAGGTCCAGAATTCTCAACTACATCAACCTGACCAACCAGGAATAAGTACTAATACACGGTATGTCATTTTATATTTAAGACCATAGTGAGCACAGAGGCTAGGGAGTCCCTGAACCTAATTAAGCTTTTAACTTCATCTCTGTTTCCCTGTTGTGCAGAAATGGCTGATCAAAATTAAGTTGCAATATTTTGACAGAAAAATAATGACTTCCTGACAAAGATTCCTAAAATGCAAATGGAAATGAATATGCTACAGTGAAATTCCAGTAGCACTCTGAGATCACATTTCATCTCTTCAGCTTCAGTTCATTGCAGGTTAAGTTGCTATAGAAGAGTAAAAACTACTTGAGCTCAGGAGTTCAAGACCAGCCTGGGCAAAATAGTGAGACCCCCATCTCTACCAAAAAAAAAAAAATAGTGGGGCATGATGGCATGCCTATATTCCTGGCTTAATCCAGAGGCTGAGGTAAGGGGATTTGCTTGAGCCCAGCCAGGAATGTGAGGCTGCAGTGAGCTACGACTGTGCCACTCCAGCCAGGGCAACAGAGATGAACTCTATCTCTCGCAGAAAAAAGAAAAAAAAGAGAGAAAAGGAAAGGAAAGGAAGAAAGGAAGAAGAAAGGAAGGAAGGAAGGAAGGAAGGAGGGAAGGAGGGAAGGAAGGAAGAAAAAAATAAAAACAAAAAACAAGGGAAAAAAACTCCAAGCAAGGTATGAAACAAGGTTTGTAGAAGGGTCAGGTAGAAGAGAGTCTGACCTGAGGTGACCCCTTTAGAGGTCTCCTCCTTCTTCCTCCCCTTCTTTTCCTTCTTCCTCCCTATGCCCGTCCCCAATATTGGAATGTTTTGCTCCTCTTTAAGTCTTAACTAATACTTAGAATTCCTGGCCTTTCTTTAATTATTATTGAGATTTTTCAGTTACTTTAGAAATAATATTTAGAAACATATGTTTCTGGTACCTAATATTTACTATTTAGAATGTTAGAGCAAAATGTCCCAAAGTGCTAGGATCTGCCCTCCAGATGCTTTGTGAAAAGCTGGCTCCCTTATCACATATGTCTGGGAAATACTGCATTGATTTTCCCCTTGGAGCTTCACAAAGCAGGGAGACAATGCAAAAGCTTACCACTGTTTTACTCATCATTTATAAATTAATTTGACCATGGAGTCTTTTCTTTAGAAAATATCTCCTGACAAGTGATTTGCTTTGCAGAACATGCTTTTGGAAACATTTGTTTAGATATCAGATAAAGATGGATTAGATTATCAATTCCCCTGTAAGTTATGAGATCTACATGAATCAGGGCACTATCCCTCCTTCACCCTGCTATTTTTACACTTTCTAAATAGAAAAGAGCATAATGAAAGTAAAAAAATATTGTTCCATTTTCATAACATATTCAGTATCGTTGTTGAAGAGTATGATGAAATTTCTCAGTGTTATAAGTTGTGTAAAGATGTGCTTTACTGTATTTTTCATTCATTGTGTTGAACATTTACTTTATGGCACCTTTCTTCCTTTTAATAAAATTTTTATTTTATGCTGGGTAAAATTTACAGAAATATTATGAAGTAGTACAGAAGTCCCTTGTACCTTCTACAGCCAGTTGCCCCTATTATTATTATGCATTAGTATGGTATGTTTGTCTCAATTAATAAAATAATATTGATACATTATTATTAACTAAAGTTCATGCTTGTTCTTCAGATTTTCTCAGTTTTTCCCTAAAGTCCTTTTTCTGTTACAGGATTGCATTCTGAATGCCACATTACATCTAGTTATATCCTAAAGTTCTTTCAGCTGTGATAATTTCTCAGCCATTTCTTCTTTTTTGTGACTGACAATTTTGAGAAGAGCGCTGGTTAGATATCTTGTTGACTGATCTTAATTTGGGATTCTTCTGGTGCTATTCTTGTTTTGGGGAAGAAGACAAACACATAAAGTACTATTTTTATCATACCATATTGAGGGTTCATATTAGCAGCATGTCTCATCACTGTTGATGTTAACTGTGATCACATGGCTTGATATAGTATTTGTTAGGTTTCTTCACTATACAGCTTTTTAATTTTTTTTCTCATTTTCCATACTGTACTCTTTGGAATAAAGCCCCTATGCCCAGCTCATATTTAACAACTGAAAAGTTATGTTCAACTTCCTTAAGGATGAGTATTTATATAAATTATTTAAACTCTTCTGTATGAAATATTTATCTACTCTCCCATATGTATGTATTTATTCAATCATTTATATGCAAATATGAAAAAAATGGATATATATTTTATTGTTGGGGTTGTAACCCAATATTCTTTTTCTCTTGATACTCAAAATGTTTGGCCACTGGGTTTCTTTCAGTTGTCTTCTATCTCCCTTTAACATACCCCTATCATCATGAGTGTACATGTGCATGTGTGTGTGTTTGAGCACTTCCTTACTTTCTGGCACTATGATGGTCCAGGCACATTTTATATATTTCTGGCACCAGACCTATAATAACCCATTTTTTCAAAGAACGCTTGTACTTCTTTCTAATGAATGCTATTAGAAACCAAGATCTAGGCACTAGATATGTTTGTTGTACTAGTGTGAGGTTGTTTCTAGGCAGTCTCAGCTAACAGAGCATGAAGATAGATGTGTGGGTTCTAACCTGTGTATACACACGTGTGCACATGCACACACACACCCCTATCTCAATATCGATATTTATATTTAACTAAACATGAGTTTATAATGATATTTCCAACCCTAAGTCATTACCACAATGATCATTTGAGTCCCTTGCTCTTGCTTATTTGTAAGTTCCCACTCCAAAAGTGAGAAACCTGGCTTCTATCATCTGTCATTTATTTACGAAATGGTCAATTCCAATATCTGTGTATAGTGATTTCAGAATTATTAACCTATATCTCTGGGGAGGGGGCAGACTTTTATCAACTAGAGTACAGTACTTATATATAGTTTCTTTTACCTTTTTTTTTTTGAGATGGAGTCTCTCTCTGTCTCCAAGCTGGAGTGCAGTGGCACTATCTCAGCTCACTGCAACCTCTGCCTCCTGGGTTCAAGCAGTTGTCCTGTCTCAACCTCCTCAGTAGCTGGGACTACAGGTGCATGCCCCCACACCCAGCTAATTTTTTGTATTTTATTTAGTAGAGATGAGGTTTCACCATGTTGTCCAGGATGGTCTCAATCTCTTGACCTCATGATCTGCCTGCCTCGGCCTCCCAAAGTGCTGGGATTACAGGGGTGAGCCACCGTACCTTTTGTTTTCTAGAATCCAGATATTTCTGAAGTACTTAAGTCAGTAGCTTATAGCCCTATCCACCCTAGTGAGGTTGTTTGATATATATGTAATAACATTAGATTATTTTATCACATTCTTCCTTCCATTCTGGGATTCCTTGACCTCCAAATATATATGTTTTTAATATATATATATTAAGATTCACTATTTGTGTTATACAGTTTGACATATGCAGTTTGACAAACGCAAAATAACTCATATGCACCATTTCGGTTTCATACATAGTAGTTTCACTACCTTAAAGATTCTCTTGTGCTGCAGCTACTTGACCCTCCCTCCCATCTCCCATCTCTACACCTTTCCCAGAATTTCATGCAATTGAAATCATGTGGTATGTAAGCCTTTTCATGCTAGCTTCCTTTAACTTAGCAATATGTATTTATGATTCATCTATGTCTCTTCATGGCTGAGAGGTCATTTTTAAAAATTATTAAATTAGTTTTCATTGTGTGGATGTGCCATATTTTATATATTCATTTTCCTCTTGAGGACAGCTGGGTTGTGTCGATTTTGGCCATTGTGCATACAGCTAAAATAAACATGCACAAGCATGTTTCTATGTGGACATAAGTTTTCAAATAATGTAGGTAAACATGGGAGCAAAATTATAGATTATATGGAAAGACTTCATTTAGATTTATAAGAAATTGACAAATGTCTTCCACAGTGGCTGCACCAGTTGCATTCTCATCAGCAGTGAATGAATTCCTGTTGCTCTACAGCATTCGGCGATGTTGGATTTTAGCCATTCTAACAGATGTTTTGTAATACCTCACTGTTATTTTAATTTACAATTTCCTAACGACAAATGATGTTGAGTATATTTTCATGTGAATATTTGGTCTGTAAATCTTCTCTGGTGAGGTATCCACTCAGATCTTATGCCCATTTTCAATTGGGTGGTTATTTTCTTCTTGTTCAGTTTTCTACATAAATTTTAATACAAGTCCTTTATCAGATATATAATTTGCAAATATTTCTACCCACCTATGGCTTGCATTTTCATCCTCTTTACTATGTTTTTATTTTAATAAAGTTAAATGTATCAAGTTTTTCATGAATTGCGTTGTTGGTATTATATTTAACAGCTTATCTCCAAACCCAAGCTGTAGGTGATTTTCTCCTATTTTTTTTAAGTTTTATAGTTTTGCATTTTACATTTAGGTCTATGATTCATTTTTAGTTAATTTTTGTGTAAGCTAAGGAGTCTGTCTCCAGGTTCCATTTCTTATTTGTTTGCATATAGATTCTTCCAATTGTTAAAAAAAACTATCCCTTCTCCATCGAATTGACTTGCTCCTTTGTCAAAGAGTTGCCAACCAGATTGTGTGGGTCCATTTCTGGACTCTTACACTGTTCCACTTATATATGTGTCTATTCTTTTGCCAACATCAGACTGTCTGCATTACTATATAATAGTATGTAATAAATCAGGTAGTATTGAGTCCTCTAACATTTTTTTCTTCAGTATTGTGTTGGCTATTCTAGAATTTTACCTTTTCTTAAAAACTTCAGAATTAGTTTGTTGATATCCTTGCTGGGATTTTGACTGAGATCATGTTCCACACATAGATCAAGATAGGAAAAATTGGTATCTTAAAATATTGAGTCTTATAATCTATAAATGTGGAATATCTCTCATTTATGTGAATCTTTTATTAAAGTTTTGTAGATTTTCACATATAAATTTTTGTTAGAGTTATACCTGTATTCTACTCACATAATACACATAAATGCTTTATGGATTTGGTGTTATTATAAATGCTATAGCTTTTTAAATTTAAAGTACTACTTTTACATTACTAGTATTTAGATTTTGTGTTTTAGCCTTATGTCCTATGATCTTGCCATACTTATTAGTTCCAGATTTTTTTTGTCAATTATTTGGGATTTGTTTTTACAATTAAGAGACAGTTTTATTTCTTCCCAATATTCGTGCCTTTATTTTTTCTTATCTTATTACACTGTCTAGGACTTCTATTATGATATTGAATAGAAGAGTGAGAGAGAACGTCCCTTCCTAGTTCCCAATCTTAGAAAAATAGTGTTGAGTGTTCTCATTGAATATAATATAAAATGCAGATTTTATATAGATGTTCCTAACCAAGTAGAGGAAATCTCTCTGTCTTCCAAGTTTGCTGAGTTTTTTTTTAATGAATGAGTATTTTTAGGATTTTTTCAAATGCTTTTTCTGCATCAATTGATATAATCATATAATTTTTCTTCTTTAATCTGTTCCTTTGATGTATTTCATTGGCTGACTTTCTAATGAAAAACAGTATTTGCATATATGTAATAAATTTCCCTTGGTTTTGGTACATAATTATTTATCTTTCCCTATTAAGCCAGTAGGGTATCTTTATGAGATCATCATTCTTAGGAATCTAGTGAGGTTGTTAAAGGTAAAGATCATGAAAGTGTGGAAGCTTCTCCTAAGATTGCGGCTCCTGGGAGTTTCTGACACAGTCTAGTCTCCGTTCAGACTTCAAGAATTCATCACAATTGCCATTCCTTGTGTCCACCAGTTAATGCTTCCAGTAGCTTCTGGAATTATGTTCGCCAGTTAATGCTTCCAAGTAGCTTCTGCTCCAGATGAACAGATCCCATCTGTGACTTTTTGATTAGCCTGTTTCTCCAGAGTTTGAGGAGGCAGCTCACCCTGCAAACTTAGGTGTCAGATGGACCAAAAAAAAAATCATTAATTTTAAATCTGTACAGCTTTTTTCTTGATGTTAGGATGGGAACAATGACTTCTAAATTCTTTACATGTTGAAACTAAAACTGGAAGTAGCATCTTTCATTTGAAAACTCATGCCCATTAGTTCTGAGAATTTTTATATAACATTTGACAATTTCTTACCTTCTATTTCCTATTTTCCTGGAATTCCTTTTACCCAGATGTCAAGCCTCTTAAATTGATCTCCTAATTTTCTTGTATCCTTTTCTACTGTACCCTGTTTCTCCCTGTGGTGGGTTTCATGGTGGCCTTTAAAAAGATATGTCCATATCATAATCCTCAAAACCTATAAGTATGACCATATTTGAAAAAAGGTTCTTCACAGATGCAATTAAGTGCAAGATTTCAAGATGAGATTATCTTGGATTATCCAGGTGAGGCATAAATTCAGTGACAAATATCCTATTAAGAGACATGCAAGGCCAGGTGTAGCTGCTCACACCTGTAATCCCAGCACTTTGGGAGGCTGAGACGGGTGGATCACTTGAGGTCAGGAGTTCAAGACTAGCCTGGCCAACATGGTGAAACCCCATCTCTACTAAATTACAAAAAATTAGCCAGGTGTGGTGGCATGCACATATAATCCCAGTTACTCAGAGGCTGCAGTAGGAGAATAGCTTGAACCCAGGAGACAGAGGTTGCAGTGAGGCTGAGATCATGTCACTGTACTCCAGCCTGGGCAACAGAGTAAATCTCCATCTTGGGAAAAAAAAAAAAAAAAAGACATGCAAAGGAGAGACATAGACATACAGAGACAAGAGAAGGCCCTGTGAAGGTGGAGGCAGAGATTGAAATGGTGCAATCACAAGCAATGCAATTCTCAGAGCCACAAGAATCTACAAGAGGCAAGGACCAATTTGCCCCCAGAGCTTCAGTGGGAGTGGGACCCTGTCAACAGCATGACTGCAGAATTTTAGTCTTTAGAAGTGTGAGAAAAAAAAAATTCTGTTGCTTTAAGTCACCAATTTGAGGAAATTTGTTGCAGGAGCACTAGGAAACTAATAGACTGCCAATCATTCCATTTTAAGTAGTGTTTCTCCAGATTTATCTTCCAATCCTTCTGTTGATTTTAAATTTCTGCTATCCTGGTTGTAGTGTTCATAGTATTATTATTTCCTGTTTGACTTTTTTATATAAAGTCTGGTTTCTTTTACTTGTGTTAGTTATCGTATTTTTAAAGATTTTATATTTACTTCATTGTTTTTCTTTTTTTTTTTTTTTTGAGGCAGAGTCTTGCTCCATCCCCCAGGCTGGAGTGCAGTGGCGTGATCTCGGCTCACTCCAAGCTCTGCCTCCCGGGTTCACGCCATTCTCCTGCCTCAGCCTCCCCAGTAGCTGCGACTACAGGCGCCCGCCACCACGCCCAGTGAATTTTTTTTGTATTTTTAGTAGAGATGGGGTTTCACCATGTTAGCCAGGATGGTCTCGATCTCCTGACCTTGTGATCCGCCCATCTCAGCCGCCCAAAGTGCTGGGATTACAGGCATGAGCCACTGCGCCCAGCCTTTTTTTTTTTTTTTTACTTTAAGTTATACATGTGCAGAACGTGCAGGTTTGTTACATAGGTATACATGTGCCATGGTGGTTTGCTGCACCTATCAACCGATCATCTAGGTTTTAAGACCCACATGCATTAGATATTTGTCCTAATGCTCTCCCTCTCCTTGCCCCCAATACCCCGACAGGCCACAGTGTGTGATGTTCCCCTCCCTGTGTCCATGTGTTCTCATTGTACAACTCCCACTTATGAGTGAGAACGTGTGGTGTTTGGTTTTGTGTTCCTGTGTTAGTTTGCTGAGAATGATGGTTTCCAGCTTCATCCATGTCCCTGCAAAGGACATGAACTCATCCTTTTTTATGGCTGCATAGTATTCCATGGTGTATATGTGCCACATTTTCTTTATCCAGTCTATCATTGATGGGCATTTGGGTTGGTTCCAAGTCTTTGCTGTTGTAAATAGTGCTGCAATAAACATATGTGTGCATGTGTCTTTATAGCAGAATGGTTTATAATCCTTTGGGTATATACCCAGTAATGGGATTGCTGGGTCAAAAGATATTTCTGGTTCTAGATCCTTGAGGAATCGCCACTGTCTCCCACAATGGTTGAACTAATTTACACTCCCACCAACAGTGTAAAAGTGCTCCTGTATCTCTACATCCTCGCCAGCATCTGTCATTTCCTGACTTTTTTTTAACTTTCAATTTTTATTTATTAGTAAGTATATCAAATATTGTTCCAGATTTACACATGGTTATTTTCCACTATGTCAATACACATTAATTTTTATATAATATGCAAATACTTAATTTTCTTTTAACTATTCAAATGGAAAATATTCAACAAAGAATAATAATTTCCTCCTTTTCTTAATTCTTGTGCTGTGTGATCCAAGTTACTTGATTTTTCTGGGTTCGTTTTCTTTAGTATCAATTTACATTACTAGAGTTTTACAACAAAGTTGTGTACTACAATCTCTTAATACTTGTAAATACTTTGCAGTACAAAACTCTGTATTTAAAACATTCCTATTTCTACAAGGCTACAGTAACCAAAACAGCATGGTACTGGTACCAAAACAGAGATATAGGACCAATGGACCAGAAAAGAGCCCTCAGAAATAATATCACACATCTACAACCATCTGATCTTTGACAAATCTGACAAAAACAAGAAATGGGGAAAGGATTCCCTATTTAACAAATGGTGCTGGGAAAACTGGCTAGCCATAGGTAGAAAGCTGAAACTGGATCCCTTCCTTACACCTTATATAAAAATTAATTCACGATGGATTAAAGACTTAAATGTTAGATCTAAAACCATAAAAACCCTAGAAGAAAACCTATGCAATACCATTCAGGACATAGGCATGGGCAAGGACTTCATGTCTAAAACACCAAAAGCAATGGCAACAAAAGCCAAAATTGACAAATGGGATCTAATTAAACTAAAGAGTTTCTGCACAGCAAAAGAAACTACCATCAGAGTTAACAGGCAACCTACAAAATGGGAGGAAATTTTTGCAATCTACTCATCTGACAAAGGGCTAATATCCAGAATCTACAAAGAACTCAAACAGATTTACAAGAAAAAAACAAACAACCCTATCAACAAGAGGGCAAAAGATATGAACAGACACTTCTCAAAAGAAGACATTTATGGAGCCAACAGACACATGAAAAAATGCTCATCATTACTGGCCATCAGAGAAATGCAAATCAAAACTACAATGAGATATCATCTCACACCAGTTAGAATGGCGATCATTAAAAAGTCAGGAAACAACAGGTGCTGGAGAGGATGTGGAGAAATAGGAACACTTTTACACTGTTGGTGGGACTGTAAACTAGTTCAACCATTGTGGAAGACAGTGTGGTGATTCCTCAGGGATCTAGAACTAGAAATACCATTTGACCCAGCCATCCCATTACTGGGTATATACCCAAAGGAATATAAATCATGCTGCTATAAAGACCCATGCACACGTATGTTTCTTGCAGCACTACTCACAATAGCAAAGACTTGGAACCAACCCAAATGTCCAACAATGATAGACTGGATTAAGAAAATGTGGCACATATACACCATGGAATACTATGCAGCCGTAAAAAGCGATAAGTTCATGTCTTTTGTAGGGACATGGATGAAGCTGGAAACCATCATTCTCAGCAAACTATCACAAGGACAAAAAACCAAACACCGCATGTTCTCACTCATAGGTGGGAATTGAACAATGGGAACACATGGACACAGGAAAGGGAACATCACATACCGGGGCTTGTTGTGGGGTGGGGGGAGTGGGGAGGGATAGCATTAGGAGATATACCTAATGTAAATGACGAGTTAATGGATGCAGCACAACAACATGGCACATGTATACATATGTAACAAACCTGCACGTTGTGCACATGTACCCTAGAACTTAAAGTATCATAAATATATATATATATTTTATATATAAAGGAACAAGTAAAAGAGAAAGGGTAAAAAAAAATTCCTATTCCCTAATTGCTTAAACACTTAGCTGCATTATTTGTAGTGTTTCCAAGTGATGCTTAAAGAAAATCCATATAAAACTAACATTCTCAGGAAGAGAATGAGTGGTGCTCCCTAGAGAAGAAAGGCCCTCCTACTTATTACATCTACCTTCCTGGTTGAATTATTATTATTATTTTTTTTTTTTTTGAGATGGAGTCTCAGTCCGTCGCCAGGCTAGAGTGCAGTGGCGCGATCTCGGCTCACCACAACATCCCCCTTCCAGGTTCAAGTGACTCTCCTGCCCCAGTCTCTCAAGCAGCCAGGACCACAGGCATATGCCACCCACCATGCCAAGCCAATTTCTGCATTTCTAGTAGAGACGGGGCTTCACCACCTTGGCCAGGATGGTCTCAATCTCCTGACCTCATGATCTGCCCACCTCGGCCTCCCAAAATGCTGGGATCACAGGCATGAGCCATGGCACCCAGCCTGAATATTTTCTTTGATGATCGCCATTCTAACCGGTGTTAGATGGTATATCATTGTGGTTTTGATTTGCATTTCTCTAATGACCAGTAATGATGAACTTTTTTTCATGTTTGTTGGCCACATAAATGTCTTCTTTTGAGAAGTGTCTGTTCGTATCCTTTACCCACTTTTTGGTGGGGTTCTTTTTTTCATGTAAATTTGTTTAAGTTTCTTGTAGATTCTGTATATTAGACCTTTGTCAGATGGATAGATTGCAAAAATTTTCTCCCATTCTGTAGGTTACTGTTCACTCTGATGATAGTTTCTTTTGCTGTGCAGAAGATCTTTAATTCAATTAGATCCCATTTATCAATTTTGGCTGTTGCAATTGCTTTTGGTGTTTTAGTCATGAAATCTTTGCCCATGTCTATGTTCTGAATGGTATTCCCTAGGTTTTCTTCTATGGTTTTTATGGTTTTAGGTTTTACACTTAAGTCTTTAATCCATCTTGTGTTAATTTTTCTATATGGTGTAAGGAAGGGGTCCAGTTTCTGTTTTCTGCATATGGCTAGCCCATTTTCCCAGCAAAATTAGGGAATCCTTTCCCCATTGCTTGTTTTTGTCAGGTTTGTTAAAGATCAGATGATTGTAGATGTGTGGTGTTATTTCTGAGGCCTCTGTTCTGTTCCATTGGTCTATATATCTGTCTTACAAGTACCATGCTGTTTTGGTTACTGTAGACTTGTAGTATTGTTTGAAGTCACGTAGTGTGATGCCTCCAGCTTTATTCTTTTTGCTTAGGATTGTCTTGGCTATAGGGGCTCTTTTCTGGTTCCATATGAAATTTAAAGTAGTTTTTCCTAATTCTGTGAAGAAATTCAATGGTAGCTTGATAGAACAGCCTGGAAACCCAGTGAGACAGAACCATTCACTCCCCTGGAAAGGGCCTGAAGCCAGGGAGCCAAGTGATCTTGCTCAGCAGGCCCCACTCCCATGGAGCCCAGAAAGTTGGGAACCACTGGCTTGAAATATTCTCACTGCCAGCATAGCAGTCTGAAGTCGACCTGGGATGATTGAGCTTGGTGTGGGGAGGGGCACCCATCATTACTGAGGCTTGAGTAGGTCATTTTCCCATGACAGTGCTAAGGAGGTCTGGAAGTTTGTACTGGGCAGAACTCACCACAGTGTGGCAAAGCGGCTGTGGCCAGACTGCCTCTCTAGATGCCTCCTCACTGGGCAGAGATCTCTGAAAGAAAGGCAGCAGCCTCAGTCAGGGGCTGATAGATAAAACTCCCATCTCCCTGGGACACAGCACCTGGGGGAAGGGTTGGATGTGGGAACAGCTTCCATGGTCTTAAACATTCCTGCCTGCTGGCTCTGAAGAGAGCAGTGGATACTGACAAGGAGGATTCTCCCAGCACAGGGCTCGAGCTCTGCTAAGGGACAGACTGCATCCTCAAGTTGGTACCTGACCCCTGTGCCTCCTGACTGGGAGAGACATCCCAGCAGGGGTCGACAGACACCTCATACAGGAGAGCTTCAGCTGGCATCAGGCCAGTGCTATTCTGGGACAAAGCTTCCAGAGGAAGGAGCAGGCAGCAATCTTTGCTGTTCTGCAGCCTCCGCTGGTGATACCCAGGCAAACGGTATGGAATGGACCTCCAGCAAACTGCAGCAGACCTGCAGAAGAGGGGCCTGAATGTTAGAAGAAAAACTAACAAACAGAAAGCAGTAACATCAACAGCAACAAAAAGGATACCCCCACACACAAAAACCCCATCCAAAGGTCATCAGCCTCAAAGATCAAAGGTAGATAAATCCACAAAGAGGAAAAACCAGCGCAAAAATGCTGAAAATTCCAAAAACCAGAATCCCTGTTCTCCAAGTGATCGCAACTCCTCTCCAGCAAGGACACAAAACTGGATGGAGAATGAGTTTGATGAATTGACAGAAGTAGGCTTCAGAAGGTGGGTAATAAACTCCTCTGAGCTAAAGACGCACGTTCTAATCCAATGTAAGGAAGCTAAGAACCTTGATAAAAGGTTATAAGAACTACTAATTAGAATAACCAGTTTAGAGAACATAAATGACCTGATGGAGCTGAAAAGCACAGCATGAGAACTTCATGAAGCATACACAAGTATCAATAGCCGAATCAATCAAGCAGAAGAAAGGATATGGGAGATTGAAGATCAAATTACTGAAATAAGGCGTGAAGATAAGATTAGAGAAAAAAAGAATAAAAAGGAATGAACAAAGCCTCCAAGAAATATGGGGCTATGTGAAAAAACCAAACGTATGATTGACTGGGGTCCCTGAAAGTGATGGGGAGAATGGAATCAAGTTGAAACTTTGGTATATTATCCAGGAAAACTTCCCCAACCTAGCAAGACAGGCCAACATTCAAATTTGGGAAATACAGAGAACACCACTAAGATACTCCTCGAGAGGAGCAACCCCAAGACACATAAATGTCAGATTCGCCAAGGTTGCAATGAAGGAAAAAATGTTAAGGGCAGCCAGAAAGAAAGGTCAGGTTACCTACAAAGGGAAGCCCATCAGACTAACAGTGGATCTCTCTGCAGAAACCCTACAACCGGAAGAGAGTTGGGGCCAATATTCAACATTCTTAAAGAAAAGAATTTTCAACCCAGAATTTCATATCCAGCCAAACTAAGCTTCAAAAACGAAGGAGAAATAAAATCCTTTACAGACAAGCAAATGGTGAGGGATTTTGTCACCACCAGGCCTGCCTTACAAGAGCTCCTGAAGGAAGCACTAAATATGGAAAGGAAAAACCAGTACCAGCCACTGAAAAAAACCACCAAAGTATAAAGACCAATGACACTATGAAGAAACTGCATCAACTAATGTGCAAAATAATCAGCTAGTATCATGATGACAGGATCAAATTCATACATAACAATATTAACCTTAAATGTAAATGGGCTAAATGCCCCAATTAAAAGACACAGATTGGCAAATTGGAAAAAGGGTCAAGACCCATCAGTGTGCTGTATTCAGGAGACCCATCTCATGTGCAAAGGAACACACAGACTCAAAATTAAAGGATGGAGGAATATTTACAAAGCAAATGGAAAGAAAAAAAAATGGGTTGCATTCAATCCTCATCTCTGATAAAACAGTCTTTAAACCAACAAAGATGAAAAAAGACAAGGGCATGACATAATGGTAAAGAGATCAATGTAACAAGAAGAGCTAACTATCCTAAATATATATGCACCCAAATACAGGAGCACCTACATTCATAAAACAAGTTCTTAGAGACCTACAAAGAGATGTAGACTCTCACACAATAATAGTGGGAGACTTTAATACCCCACTGTCAGTATTAGACAGATCAAAGAGACAGAAAATTGACAAGATATTCAGGCTTGAACTCAGTTCTGGACCAAGTGGACCTAACAGACATCTACAGAACTCTTCACCCCAAATCAACAGAATATATGTTCTTCTCAGCACCACATCACATTTATTCTAAAATCAACCACATAATTTCAAGTAAAAAACACTCCTCAGCAAATGCAAAAGAATGGAAATGATAACAAACAGTCTCTCAGACCACAGTGCAATCAAATTAGAAGTCAGGATTAAGAAACTCACTGAAAACCGCACAACTACATGGAAACTGAACAACCTGCTCCTGAATGACTATTGGGTGAATAACGAAATGAGGGCAGAAATAAAGAAGTTCTTTGAAACCAATGAGAATGAAGACACAATATACCAGAGTCTCTTGGACACAATTAAAGCAGTGTTTAGAGGGAAATTTATAGCACTAAATGCCCACAGCAGGCAATGGGAAAGATCTGAAATCAACACCCTAACATCACAATTAAAAGAACTAGAGAAGCAACAGCAAACAAATTCAAAGGCTAGCAGAAGACAAGAAATAACTAAGATCAGAGCAGAATTGAAGGAGATAGAGACATGAAAAACCCTTCAAAAAATCAGTGAATCCAGGAGGTGGTTTTTTGAAAAGATTAACAAAATAGACCACTAGCCAGACTAATAAAGAAGAAAAGAGAGAGGAATCAAATAGACACAATAAAAATGATAAAGCGGATATCACCACTGATCCCACAGAAATACAAACTACCATCAGAGAATACTATAAACACCTCTACGCAAATAAACTAGAAAATCTAGAAGAAATGGATAAATTCCTAGACACATACACCCTCCCAAGACTAAACCAGGAAGAAGTCGAATCCCTGAATAGACCAATAATAAGTTCTGAAATTGAGGCAGTAGTTAATAGCCTATGAACCAAAAAAAGCCCAGGACCAGACAGATTCACAGCCAAATTCTACCACAGGTACAAAGAGGAGCTGGTACTATTCCTTCTGAAACTATTCCAAACAATAGAAAAAGAAGGAATCCTCCCTAAATCATTTTATGAGGCCAGCATCATCCTGAAACCAAAATCTGGCAGAGATACAACAAGAAAAGAAAATTTCACGCCAATATTTCTGATGAACATAGATGTAAAAATCCTCAATATAATACTGGCAAAATGAATCCAGCAGCACATCAAAAAGCTTATCCACCACAACCAAGTGGGCTTCATCCCCGGGATGCAAGGCTGATTCAACGTATGCAGATCAATAAACGTAATCCATCAAATGAACAGAACCAATGACAAAAACCACATAATTATCTCAATAGATGCAGAAAATGCCTTTGATCAAATTCAACATCCCTTCTCACTAAAAACTCTCTAATAAACTAGGTATTGACGGAACATATCTCAAAATAATAAGAGCTATCTATAACAAACGTATAGCCAATATCATACTGAAAGCGCAAAAGCTGGAAGCATTCCTTTTGAAAGCTGGCACTAGACAAGGACGCCCTCTCTCGCCACTCCTATTCAACATATATTGGAAGTTCTGGCCAGGGCAGTCAGGCAAGAGAAAGAAATAAACGGTATTCAAATAGGAAGAGAGAAGGTCAAATTGTCTCTGTTTGCAGATGACATGATTGTATATATTATAAAATCCCATCATCTCAGCCCCAAAACTCCTTGAGGTGATAAGCAACTTCAGCAAAGTCTCAGGATACAAAATCAATGTGCAAATATCACCAGCATTCCTATACACCAATAATAGACAAACAGAGAGCCAAATCATGAGTGAACTCCCATTCACAATTGCTGCAAAGAGAATAAAATACCTAGGAATACAACTTACAAGGGACGTGAAGGACCTCTTCAAGGAGAACTACAAACCACTGCTCAAGGAGATAAGAGAGGACACAAACAAATGGAGAAACATTCCATCCTCATGGATAGGAGGAATCAATATCGTGAAATAGCCATACTGCCCAAAGTAATTTATAGATTCATTTTGTTTTTAAATGATGCTTAATAATTGTACCTGTTTATGCAGTACACTTAAGTTTCAACACATATATACATTGCATAATGATCAAATCAGGGAAATGAATGTATCTATCAACTCAAATACTTGCCATTTCTGATGAAAATACTCATCACTAAAGTATATAAAATTAAAGATATCATTTGGATAAAATTCTCTCTTCTAGCAATTTTGAAATACACAATAGATTATTAACCATTATCTTATTTTAGAAGTTATCTTTTATTTATCCAATGACCATTTTTTTCAATTTGTTTCTTTTTAATTGGTTATTTTGTATCTTTCTTCCTCACTCAAATATCTGCTGTGATTTGGTGTCTATCCATAGGTTACAGCAAGTCACTGAAAAGCTGATTGGAAGATCCATATTTGTTGATAGTAGGTCTGATTGTTGGTTGATCAGGGAGCCATTTTATTGGAGAAACCTGAATGATATTGGGTGAAATATTTTTGAGGGGACTAATCAGTTACTCCAGAGGAGAATTCTGTAATCGTCTTACGCTTCAGAACCAGTATTCTGTAGATTGAACAAAAGGAGAATGGAGGTCATACTTATTTATATGCAGAGTGTTAGTTAATCCCTAATTGTCAGTGAACTCTGTCACTCTGTCCTCCAATGCTGGGCTTCCATATATCTTCGAAGACTTTCCAGTTATTTTTCTCCAGGGAATTCTCACCAGCCTGGAAAGAGTAGGTATGTTTGCCTAACTGAAAAGAAGGAGGGTATCTCTGGTAATTTAATAGCTTCTCTTATAATCTTTTAGGAGTTCATTTTGTTTTCGGCACAGTTTAAAGAGTTTCCAAACACTACTGTATCCAGGACTTTTCCTGGATACTGACCATGATTAATCTTCATTTTGTTGCCATCATTCCACTGTAGGCACTTATGTTTCAACTTTCTCCTTTCTGTTTAATCATTTTGCATTTTTCCCATCTACCTAAAACTCTTTAAATTGCTTTGCTGTGGTCTACTTTTCCATTCCATTAGACGTGTAGGGTTCATAGCTTTAACTAAAATGTATTTGTCCCTTTCTATTGTTTCATTAGCACAGTAGTATACAAAAATGTGTGTGTTAAATCTTCCATATAATGCAAATATGTGCAATGTAATTGTGGCAGAGAGGATACTGCACCCCTTGCAAAGATGTCTATGTCCTAATCTCCAGAACCTGTCAATGGGTTACTTTACACAGAAAAAAAGAATCTGCAAATGTGATTACAGTAAAGATCTTGAGATGGGAGGATAAACTTGAATTATGCAGGTATCAGAGAAGAAGGTGTGATAACAGAAACAGAAATGGGAGAGAGAAACAAGGAGAAACAGGGAGAGAGAGGGAGAGGGAGGGAGGGGGAGAGAGACAGAGAGAGAGAGATGCTACCACTGGCTTGGCTTTGAAATTGGAGAAAGGAACCACAGACAAGGAATGCAGGTGTTCTCTAGAAGCTCAAAAAGGGCAAGAAAACAGATTGTCCCTGAACCTGCAGAGAGAATGTAGTTCTGACAATATCTTGATTTTAGCCTGTAAGAACCATTTCAAACTTCTGACCTCCGTAACTGTAACATAATAAATTTATGTTGTTTTAAGCCACCAAGTTTGTGATAATTTGTTACTTATGAAATAAGAAACTAATCAGTAATATTAACTTTTTAAAAGGCTGTCATAAAATATAATGTATATCCACACAATTCTGTATTTGCTTAAAAATCTATACTCAACCAAATACAAACATATATCTACAAACACCTGCATACACGTAAAATAAGAAAGTCAGAATTTTATTCATCGAAATAATAATGTACTGAACTCTGAGTTTATGCAGGGTTACATGGAATTTTAATTTCATTCTTTTTTCTTTGTAATTTTAGATAGCCGATAATGAACAATTAGTTTTTCAATTGAAATCTAATGAAAAAAATTTCATCACGGTTCTTACCTTAAAACATAAAGGTGTTCCTCGCTAATAGAGGCAGGCCATTGATGTCAATAATAAGTAACTCTTAAATGTACAGTCTGGACAACAATTACACAGAATATAGGACAAATGATGTGAACATAAATAACTGAAGGACTCATACAAAGAGAATATCTTTGAAGAAGTACAGTTATACACATTTAGCACAAAGCCACTAACGTCCACATACAGTCAATGCTTCATGAAATATTTAACACACTGTTGTCCTATGCTAGGAAAGACTAGCAAATAATGTGTTTCAATGCCTCAATTTTTCCACTTTGTTCCCATAGTATCAATGCAATTCACATATCAATAATGCATCTTGATCTTGATTAGTTCATGTCTTATTATTTCTCTGTCTTTTTCACGTCAATATGTATCTGCCCAGAACTCAGTTGATGTGAAAATGTTCACATGTGCTGAGGCAGTACTGTATGTTCACCTTACTCCCCTCTGAGTTTTTCATTTTAGATGAGAATTGAGGCTCACTGAGATTGAGTAACTTGCCTGAGGTCATCCTACTAATGAAGGGTGAGACTAAGATTTGAATCCAGGCAGTTAAAGTTTAGAGCATGAAGAAAGAAAGACGATAAGGAGGATGGAAGTAAATCGTGGAAAAGCTCTTGGAGATACTGCTTAAGCCTTAAATAATAGGATTTTGAGATTAAAGGGGATATCTTCTATTGAAACCAGTTTTCTGTAGATCCTTGAAGCTACACATCACAGACCAGACAGTACTCCACCAGTACTTGGAAATGAATGAGTTGGAGAATTCTGTGATTCTAGATGGTCTGTACTCCAGCTCAGGAGCTGAATATTCAACTCCATCCTAGCATACTTGAGTTCAAGACAGTATTACAATAATTTGAGAAGAATTTCTTGCTTTGAGGGGATGAAGGAACCACCTCCCTCTCACAGAAAATTTGATTTTAACTTAACATTACGCAGTCACAGGAATTCTAAAAGTTTAGACATAGTTCTTCCTTGCCTGGCCATTTCTCAAAAAGTTTGGCTTTGTAGCAAATAGACATTCTTATTTGATGGAATAACTTGAGAACAAAGCACAGGCTTCTTGGCTTTGTTTTTGCATATCAGGTTTTCTAGTTAGATTGAACAATGGCAACATCACTGTCAAATTTCCCTCTCACAAACATTTCTCATGTAGTAAAAGAAACTGAAATCACTGATTCATTTTGGCCATTAAACGTGACACTTCTACTTCTAAAGGGTTTATTACACAGATACAGAATTACATAATGTGTTAAGAATTTAAACAAACTAGGTGGAATGAAGCAAAATCAACCTTGCCCTGAGGCCAATTTGTATGAGCAACAAATTCATAATGCAGTATAAATTGGGTGACCGTGTCTCTTGTGTCCCAATGTAAAAGGTCTAAACCAAGAGAAAGAGGGTGACAAAATTTACAAGCTGAATAGGCCAAGGTTGTAGATCAAAACTACAGCCAAATTTAAGGCTTCAGGATATTCCTATTTTCACCCAGACTCTTGGTGTTTTAGTGGCTTATGGCAAAATTAACAAATTATTTATTTTTATGTAATATTTTTATTTTTGTGTTTTTGCATATATAGTAAGTAGAACATATTGATGACCTTGAAATCCTCCTTGTCCTCTATTCCTTTTCCAACCTCAGCCCTTTCCAGGGCCAATTGCCAGCACAGAGGGTACGCACGCTCCCAGTCCATGCTTTGGTATTTTAGTAGGTGGATTCTTTCTTGACACCTCTTTTCATACACTCACATTTAATCCATTGGTATATCCTGTTGGCTGTAGCTAAAATATATTCAGACTTTGAGCACTTCTTACCAGCTCTTACCTCAGATCATATTACCACTCTCACCTTCATAGGACCTTTGCCCTGTGAGTTACCTGACAGCCTCTTTGGTATTATTATTCGAAGAGATAATTACTTTTCAACAGAAGAAACTTGAACTTGGAGATTAACACATTTCCAAATTCCAAAAGAAAGTGACTTAATGGACTAGTATCACACTGCCTTGCACCCTTCGGTTCCCCATCAGGCATTGTGTAGAAGCAGTGCTTTCTGCTCCCTGCCCCTCAATTTTTACCATGGAGACATCTGCCTGAGGAAAAAGGAAATCTGTCCAATAGATGACAAACATGGCATTTCTATGGCCTTAAAAGACTGTTATTTCCCATTATAATAAACAGCTCACTCTGGAATGAGAAGAAGGCTGGCTGATTAGTAGCATGGCTGTCGCATGATGCTTATCATCAGGATGGGGATATCATGGTCATCAAGCATTTTTTGCCATCTCACTCCAAATAGGGTTGACTCCATTTTTCTTCCCTAGCTGTATTTTAACCATTCCATCTATACCCACATGTCCTTATTATAGCTCTCACTCATAATACACTAAGTCCTTCAGGGATTCTCTCCTTTTTCTTTGTTTTGTGTTTGTCAGTTTCTTGCAGAATGAAGTTTGGAGCACTCCTAGATATGTATTATAAATAATTAAAGTTGACAAAGCCCCCTTTACTTTCCCTGTTGTGTGTGTATTGTGGGGTGTGTGTGTGTGTGTGCGTTTTCCAAAAAAACTTCAGATAGAACAGTGCCACTGACTGTCTCCAACCTTAATAGTGCTTTTTTTTCTGCCATTGGATGAGATGGGCTTTTACTCTTAGGATTATTATTTTGGAAAGTAGGTAATATTCCTTTAGAAGGAAATAACAAAAGAAAGACAAATCAAATCAAACACAAACCTCTGGGCTCTATTATGGCATTAGGCTTTATGTCCCAGAGCAGGTCGGAGCATACCTTTGATATATGAAAATTTGTCTTTCCTGGGTACATTTCATTTAGTGAAATGCTGTTTGAGAGCAACTTTATTAAAGATGCAAGACACTGGTACAATGCCGCTTTATTTTGTGTCACTGCTTTCATGTAAAATCCTCTCTCCAAACACGTTGGAGAATTAAATAATACAAGACAGGAGAGAGTGTTCTTTATAAATTATACAACACTATGGCATAAAGAAAAATTTAAAGAATCACTTAGCCAATAGCTAAGGCTTAGAGAAATGGAAAGAAATAGGAGGGATTCTTAGATTTTTTTTTTCTGTCCAAAGGTTATGGAGAGTGTTTGAAGTAGCGTAGAAAAATAGAATTCCTGGTGGAACATGGGGCCAACATTTTATTACCAAGAAATGCAACCTTCTCATGATTTTCCTTCCACTGCATCACTTTCTAAGTTGTCCTTAGTGCTTTTATTTTGTGAAGAACATATGAGTAATGTTCATAGATACTAGTTTTCTATTATAATTTAAATTACTTGAAAGTCCTAAAGTTTAGGGTTATCACACACATATAAAAGTGAAAATCACAGAGGTAAAATGAGCTATACATGTGGTCATACAACTGCCAAATAGCAAATCCTTAAGGCAAATCCAGGTTTAATGGAATCCAAAGCCTGGTGCTTGTTACCACTCCAGTGAACTTAGCAAGAACTAGAATTAATGAGCCATATCTCTCATTGAGTATATTCCTATAATTTTCCAACAATGCTATGCAGGCAAGCACTCTCAATCTTTGTTCTAACGTGACTCAAGGGCCTTAATTCATGAAGACAAAAGTAGCTAGAACTGTATGAACCTCGAGTAGAAGGGCTATACACAATTTTCATTGTCCTAGAGCACATTCTATTTCTATGCTCTTACATTAACAATTGTGGAGCATTGGGCAATACACTTCTTCTTCAGATATACTGAGGTGATATCATCTTTCATCTCAGGACCTGGAATAAACCTGAACAGGTGGCATGACAAATACTGTACTCATTTTCCTCTTTTTCCTTGCAGGTAACAACCCCAGTGTTGTTCTGGACAAGAATATGCTCACTTTCAAATCGTGGATTACTCTATGACAATAAAAAAAATTCTGGTTTGCAGTTTGCCAGCCTCTCTTGCCCCAGGGAACATGCATAAGTCACAGTCTTGCCCCATAAGACTAAACTGAACTCTGTGAGCACTGCCCTCCTTTATGTTTTTGTTAGTCCTGCTCTAAATGTGGCTGTGATGGCTAGAGCTGCAACATTCATTTTACAACCATGTTCCTGCAAGCAGAAGAGTGAAGGCAATATGCTAAAGACTGAAAATAAAGAAAGGATCTGGACTTCAAAGATGTCATCAACAGCTGCCAACCTCTAAATATTTGATATGAAAAAAATTCTTATTTAAGGCACTGTTAGTTTGGTTTTTGTGGTAACTTACAATTGAATTCAATCTCAACAGATAATTATAAACAATCCCAGTAGACACACATCAACATGAGAAAGGGGGTTAGGGTTGAGTTGTAGAGAGAGAAATGCAAGGCTAAAGAGCAAGAGAATACTTCCTTCTGTGATCATACTTTTGGACAAGGTTGCACTTCTGTGTGACATCTAAACTGTAGGTGTCATACCAAGGCCGTACATGGTTTCTAAAGGCCAGCTAATGAAGCAGCCATAAACATCACTTATCTAGCACACAGAATTGATGCTTTATCCGTTTGACCATATGTGACTGGGCACATGTGTTGGTGTGCATTTTTACACAAAGCTTTGTATAGGCCAAGACCTGGGCTACAAGTAAGACATTTGGGTTCTATCTCTGGCTATTCCACTTACTAGATGAATATATTACTCAGGATAGGCTAGATTGTGCTGCAATAAAACAATAAGTGTTAAAAATAAAATAAAATAAACAATCTCCAGGTCTTAGTGGCTTAAAAGAGTAAAAAGTGTATTATTTGCTCACAGTACTTGCCCATTATGAGTCAGCTAGGAGGCTTTGCTCTATCTTGTCCTCACTCAGGGACTGAGCCAGAGGGATGTTCCATCTCCCTGCTTCCATGTTTTCCCTGATAGAAAAATGGGTACAAAAACTTACACATGACTTTTAATGCTTTTAAATGAAAGTAACCCATACTACTTTTGCTAAATTTGCACTGGACAAAACCAGTCACATGACCACACCTATACTCCTGAAAGCAGGAAAATAATACTAACATGAAACTTCAAGGGAGAACAGAAAATGCTTGGTACAATGCACACAGTGACTCTAAATGTGTTATTTCCCTTCTTTGCACATTCATTTTCTTCATCTCTAGCAAATATATATATATATATATATATTTAAATTCTTCCTTGACTACTGTAAGCACACATCATCCTGAAAATGGCTTAGTTTGACTCTTCACCTTTTGCTCACTAAGCGTTGAAGCTAAACTAAGCAGCTGCTTGCCATTACAGAGACAAAGCCTGAGCGACCTTCTTCACTTTCAGCTTTCAGCAATTTAAAAGAGTGCAGACAGCTAGTAAAAGAACAAAAGGTGTGGGTATCTCTACCTTCTATGTTGCATCAAATTAGTGAAATAGAATATTTTTGCCTAAACCCTGTATCCCTGGCTTTCTATTATATGAAAGCAACAAAACAACTAATATTTTAAACTCTTAGTACATCATCTGCAGAACACTAGTTGGCAAAGTGTGCTCTACAAATACGCTGGGTAAATAGCATGGGGTAACCCAAGGGAGCAAAGAAGAGTGGATTGTGTTCTAAATTAGATATGAGGACCTGATATGACCTGAAGGCAAAGAGTTTGTGGACACTTTTCCTAAAAGCCCAGTAGGAATTCTGTTTCCTAAAGAACACTTGTAGCTGCCATTACCTTTGCCTAAACTCCTGCAATTTAGTAAGGAAAGAGCCTACGTCTAATGTTGAAATAATATGCTACCATTAACCACAGAATCAAGAAATGACCTCAAGCTTTTTGATACTTTTTTGCTATTTTTCAAAAAAAGGTTCTGTGAGCTTCTCATGCAAAATCTCACTCCTCTTCCAACACAAAAGTGATTTGCCAAAAATGTGCTTTGTTGGTGACTCTTTTGTTAAAGTTTCATATTGAGGAGCTATGCCTTCAGACCAACTTGTTAACTGCCAAAACTGAGGCAAGAGTTCTGAAGCAGCAACTTCAACTGGACCAAACTTTGTTACTAACATGACCTGATATTTTCTATATTTTGCCTCAGGGAAAAAGAAATTATCATCCACGTTTACAGGGCATGAGATAACAACCTGGACTTAACATTGACATTTTTAGGTTGGAATTACTCACTTGTTTTTTGTTTTGTTTTCTTAATCTGAGAAGTTAGGCAGAGAAACCTAGAATGATTGCACCTCTACGCTTTTACATTAAGAGCTCGTCCTTGCCTTTACTCCTCAGTTAAACATAAGGGATGCTTCCAAATGTGAGTGACAAAGCTGCCAAAATGGTGATGAATATTGCTTTCAGAGCTGATAAAACAATCTCTTGATATCATCAGCCAACAAATCACTGAACACCTTGAATGCAATTTGTATTATGTAGGGTTTTATTTGTTTCAATTTACAATGAATTGAGTTTTTCAGAGGGAGAATGAAAGTAAGAATTGGTTTATTATGAAAGAACCATGCTGGGAACAGAAAAGAAAAGAGAGAGTCTTACCCAATCTTTGGTCTTTACTGTACGCTCATTGGAGAATGACAGTTTGTTCTTTATATAGTATTTAGCAGAACAGGATTAGAGATGAGGGGTCCCTGGTCTGTGGCCTGTTAGGAAGTGGGCTGCACAGCAGGAGGTGAGCGGCAGGCTAGTGAGCACAGCTTCATCTGTATTTATAGCCACTCCCTATTGCTTGCATTACTGCCTAAGCACAGCCTCCTGTCAGATCAGTGGTGACATTAGATTCTCATAAGAGTACGAACCCTACCGTGAACTGCACATGCGAGGAATGTGCACTAGGTCTCATAAGGAGCTAGGTTGTGAGCTCCTTATGAGAATCTAATGTCTGGTGATATGTCACTGTCTCCCATCACCCCCCAGTGGGACCAACTAGTGGCAGAAAAACAAGCTCAGGGCTCCCACTGATTCTACATTATGGTGAGTTGTATAATTATTTCATTATATATTACAATGTAATAATAATAGAAATAAAGTGCACAATAAATGTAATGCATCATCCTGAAACCATCCCCCATGACCTGCCCTCCTGGTCCTTGGAAAAACTGTCTTTCATGAAATTGGTCCTTGGTGCCAAAAAGGTTGGGGACTGCTGTTATAGATTAAGAATGGAAGAGATGAACGCCTGATGAGTGAGACCCCATGAGAGCAATGCTGATTAAGAATGATGTAAGGTCAGTTGCTCACGCCTGTAATCCCAGCACTTTGGGAGGTGGAGGCGGGTGGATCACGAGGTCAGGAGTTCGAGACCATCCTGGCCAACATAGTGAAATCCCATCTCTACTAAAAATACAAAAATTGCTGGGTGTGGTGGTGCGTGCCTGTAATCCCAGCTACTCAGGAGGCTGAGGCAGGAGAATTGCTTGAACTTGGGAAGCGGAGGTTGCAGCGAGCCGAGGTGGTGCCACTGCACTCCAGCCCAGGCAACAGTGCGAGACTCTGTCTCATAAAAAAGAATGGCGTAAGATAATTAAGCCTAAGTTGTTGTCCTAAGGTTAATCAACAACTTCTCTTTCACTACTCTTTGTGTTGCAACCAGTTGGATAGCTCTCCCTAGTGTCCCCCAAGTCCTCATAATTTAGTATCCTTATTCCTTTTAAGTTCCATCTAAGGTCCCCCTATGTCCCATGTGATACACTCTTCCTGGATGATGTCATGCTCCCTGCCACTTTGAGACCCCTGAGGGACATACAAATAAATAGTTCAAGGTTAGCATGTTAAAAATGAAATGTATTGTATTTTGTATATTTATACTTTATTTACTGTTTCATAAATTGTTGCCATCAAAAGTACAAGTTGAATCCCATATGAATACCCTTGATTGAATATAAGGAAAGAGTAGATTCACTCTCCAAATCTCTAAAAGCTTTAATACTAAAAATCTTTTCTTTCTCTCTCCACCCTACTTTCTATAAATACCTTGCCTTTATTCAAACTCCATGCTTTATTACTTGGATTACTAAAATAATTGTCCAGTTGTTCTTACTGCCATTCATCACTATAGAATATGGATAAAAGCTATAGTCTACACCACAGCATATGTGAACACTTGGAAACACAAATCTGTTTCTATCACTTCCCTACATAAAAGTATTGTTTGTCTTTCCAATGCTTTCAGGATGAAATTTAAATTCATTAGCTTATCATATAAAAAGGATTTTATAGTAAATACAAACATGATCCCTGTTTTCATGGCTAGAGTTTAGTGGGGTGTGTGAGGGGCAGCAGGCAAGTAATTCAAAAGTTACGTTTCAGTGTGATTATGTGTGCTGATAAAGACCTGCATTTGTGCTATGGGAGAATAGCAAAGAAACTGCTAAATCAGGTTGGAGGTTAGGAGGTGAAATTTGGAGGAGGTAATGCTTTAGCTGAGTTTTATAAAATGACAGGGACTGGTTACAGGGAGAATAGACAAAAGGCATACAGTACTTGGTATATTGTAGGTGTTTGCTAAAATAAATGCATGTAGGCTAAGGTGTGTATGTATGCATGCATGCATTATTTCACACTATATCATGGATTTTTATCTGGATTGAATAGGTCATCCACCAAACACTTATGAGATGTGACTACTCCAGATCTCAGCTGTAAAAGGTGAAAGCCAGACTTAATAATCTATATTATTGAAATGTTTGAATCTCAGAAGAATAAATATTAACACAAGTAGCAGACATGTATTTTCAGGTAGAGATAGACAATCCAAACATGGATAATTGAAACAACCCACAAGGATTCTTATTAAGTCATTGGGACTTTCCTCTTAAGCAATGGAGGTCTGGAATCACAGTTCCAAACTATATATCAACTCCCTGTCATTTTGCAGGAAGTAATTTCAGAGTTCTCCAGCATATGTCTCATTATCTATCAAGCACAGCCACAGTATTACAACCTCCTCTTCCAATGTCTTAGAATATTGCATTGCCCTCCTGGGAGATGTGTATTATCCGTGGCATGCTGAATATTTGATTTCTCAGCTAGAATCTTCAGCATTTATGGGTAGAAGCTGAAGAACATAAGAGGTCAAACATTTACATGAATTTCCTAGGGTTAAAAGTTGATTTTGGTATGAAATATAAAATATACTGTCCTGATAATGTTTCCTTCATTATCCACATCTGCCACCTGTGGTACTTATGGGCGGTGGGTTTTTTGCTGTTTTTGTTTTGTTTTGTTTTGTTTTTACTAGAGGGCTAAATCAGAAGAAAATGTGAAATGCTGGACAAAAAAAGAGATTTCTTTTGAGCTTCATAAATCTTGGACAAAAGCGAACCCCTGTGAGACTATTTTATGTCCCTTATCTAGCTTGTTGGCAGTACAGGTGAACATAAAATTTCCCAAGTGGCTGATTAGACTGTATAAAACACTCTAGGACTCTAATGGGCCAGACAATTCAAAAGGGAGTCAAATATAAGATTCAGTTTGATCTGTTATAAGAAGGTTGTTTTGCTTCTTTATTAACATAGCTACCTCCTTTTAGGACTCTTTATAACCAACTAGCAAGAGATAGTGTCCTCAGCTCTGGTCTTCTCTAATATAGCTGAATTCCTCCATGTTTCCCCAAATTGATTATTGTCTATCAAATTCCTGTTACTTTTTTGGAATTATCATACCACTTATAAAGTGTGCTCCACTACTGAAGCAAAATCTAGGAAGCACACTTAAGTTGCCTGTTTCTGCTTCTCTCTTCTACCTAGTGAGTGGTGACAGTGTCTTGGTATCTTAATTTACTTGTCAATAAGAGAGTTATACCCAGCACAAACCACCTTCTCCAGAGAGCAATAAAGTTTGACTAAGTAATATTTGTAAAGGGCATCTAGGATTCAAAAAAATAAAGTTTATTATTAAAGATTTTGATTAAGAACAACAAACACAAAGAGAAAATTCATTCTATATCTGTTCGATATTAAAAACAATGACAGCCATAAATAAATGTTGAGTAATATTTCCTCTATCTTCTCAAAGGAAAACAAAGGGCCTGACAAGTATATCAAAATGAAATACTGAGTATATGAAGGGGGTGGGAGGGAAGAACCCCAGTGATGTTGACTGGTTTTAACATTTTTGTTGTCCTTTTATAACCCAGAATAGTGGCATTTCTCATTAAAATGTCATATTTCATTGTGTTGGAACATAATGGGAACTAAGTCCTTCTAGTACTTTTTTTTATATAAAGCCATGAGAATTTAAGACTTAATGCCAGCTTGCTTTGATTTTTCAATCATTCAAGATATATTCTTAATGTTATTTATCTTGGCACCTTTAGAAATGTAGCTCGGTGCTTCTTTCAAAGATATAACTGAAGAAATTATATCACCCCTTCTATTGAAGTCTTAAAATGAATTCAAAATCAATTATACATGCTTTTCTCTTCTGTTTAATATTCCTTGCCATTCATAGAACTATAGGGTTCATAAAGTGAAAGGGCATGTACATTATTATTTTCTGTAACTGGGCTAAAGCCATTTTACTAAAAAAAGCAGTCTGTGTCCTATAAAGGGATGAGGCCACTCATACCACTATGGTATAATGTAAATAAGATGGGAAACTACTCTCCGTGGGCAACCCATCTCACTCACATGAAAACCCAAATTCTAACTGCTACCTTCAGAGAAGAACAGGATTTGGCCCCCTCTTATATGTCTGATATTTTCTCTCACCACTTTCACCCTTGCTCACCCTATTGCTGCCATAGTGGGCTCCTTATTATTCCTCAAATGTGCCAATCACATGTGTGCCTCAGATTTTTGCTAAGTTATTCCATCTGCTTATAATTGTTCCCAAGACTCACTCCTATGTTTGCTTTCAAGGCTTTTCTCAAAAGTTACATTCTCAGTGAGGGATTTCCTTGTCAACCTATCTAAAATATTGTACTCCTCCCCTGGAAAAAAAAATCCAATTGCACTTATCTACTAAATTTTATCTTTAATGTCTATCGGTATCTAATATGATCTATATTTACTCATTTATTTTGTTTATTCCCCATCTCATACATTAAAATATTAAGCTCTGTGGTAGTAGAAGATTAACTGCTGTGATCCTCCACCTAAGACAGGATCTGGCAAACAGTATGTTCTTAATAAAACCAGATGAATAAATATGTAAATAAATGTATAAATAAAAAATTGAATGAATACATGAGTGAATAAATGTAAGGAGTGAATGAAATGGCAGGAGTCACGAGAACAAAACTGCAGATACACCTCAGATACAATACTTCTTTTGTGAACTTGAGCAAGTCATTTAACTCCATTAGACCACAACTTTTTTATCTTTAACATGTTATCCTTTCTAAATCCAAAGAATAAGTACAGCTGTATAGTTTCATAAAATTCAAATGAAAGGATTACATTTATTTGGAATGTAGAAGGTCTGAATAATATGCACACCGCATGATAGACCCAGTTAGATACATTTGTCACTCCGGATAATGTAAAAATTTCTGAATCTCTGATAATAGGGAGCAGAAATAAATGATAATTTCACTGACAACCAACTCCACATTTTCCTTTATCTCTGATTTCTCTTCTTTAATACTAGTTTAAGCCACTTAATGGCTTTTGATCTTGATGAACAAGTGATTGTAGCAATGAGTCTATAAAATAGATTGGCAGAAACTATGTTGGTGTGAAGGTTAATTCAATTTTAAGATGTATTTTGCTTGTTTGTTTTTGTTTTTTTGAGATGGAGTTTCACTTTTGTTGCCCAGGCTGGAGTACAATGGCATGATCTCGGCTCATTGCAACCTCCGCCTCCCAGGTTCAAGTGATTCTCCTGCCTCAGCCTCTTGAGTAGCTGGGATTACAGGCGCCCACCACCACGTCCAGCTAATTTTTGTATTTTTAGTAGAGGGTTTTGCCGTGTTGACAAGGCTGGTCTTGAACTCCTGACCTCAGGTGATCTGCCCACCTTGGCCTCCCGAAGTGCTAGGATTACAGGTGTCAACCACTATGCCCAGCCTTTTAAGATTCTTTGAAAAAAATTGGAGATTTTTGTAGGGAGTACACATATCTATTTTAAAAAATGATCTAACACTCTGTTCTGTGCTCTTTCAGCCTATTTTTTTTTCAGAATACTTATCACTTGAATCACCTGAAAATTGTCACCTATAGAATGGGACTATTTATATTGCCAAACTAGAGGTTTTTGTGAGGATTGCGTAAGATTTTAAGTGTAAAATATTTAGAATAATGCCTGATATGTGATAAGATCTCAATAAATGTTAATTATGATGATGATTATTACTGTACTCATTAAACAAATTATTCTCATACTCCACTATACAATGAGCTCCTTGAAAGCAGAGTATTTATCTTTTTAGCCTACTGAAGACACATCCTCATTTCAAAGGATTTATTCATTATACTCAGTGGTGAAAAGTTGGAAGATTTTCCCCAAGATCAAGAACAAGACAGTGCCCAATCTCACCATTTGTAATCAACATAGTACTAGAAGTTTTATGCAGAGCAATTAGGCAAGAAAAAGAAATGAGACATATAAACTGGAAAGAATAAGTGAAATTATCTCTATATGTACAAAGAAACCCTGCTAGCACTAATAAATGAATTTACAAAAGTTATAGGACACAAAATCAACATGCAAAAATAAGTTGTGTTTCTATACACTAACAACAAACTATCTAAAAAAGAAATTAAGAAAACAGTCCCATTTGCAATAGCATCAAAAAGAATAAAATACTTAGGAATAAATTTAACCAAGGAAGTGAGATCTGTAACTGCAATCTTTAAGACATTCATGACAATGAAATCTATAAGACATTAATGAAAGAAATTGAAGACACACAAAAATGGAAAGATAACTCGTTTGTGGATTGTAAGAATTAATAATGTTAAAAATGTCCATATTATCCAAAGCAGTCAGTCTACAGATTCAATTCAATCTCTATCAAAACACCAATGATATTCTTCACATAAATGGACAAAATAATCCTAAAATTCATATGGAACTACAAACGACCCCAAATAGTCAAATCAATCCTGAAGAAAAAGAACAAATCTAGAGGTATCACACTTTCTGATCTTAATTTATATTACAAAGCTATACTAATAAAAAAGTATGACACCAGCATAAAAAAAAACAGACACATAAACCAATGGAACAAAATAGCCTAGAAATAAACCCACATATATATGGCCAACTAATCTCTGCCAAGATGCCAAAAAATACACAATGAGGAAAGGATAGTCTCTTCAATAAATAGTGTTGGAAAAGCTGGATATCCACATAAAAACCATCAAAATGAACACCATATATAAAAATTAACTGAAATCAAAGGCTTAAATATAAGACTCAAAACCACGAAACTCCTAGAATAACATAGGGAAAAAGCTCTTTGACATTAGTATTGGCAAAATTATTTTAGATATGACCCCAAAAGCATAGGCTACAAAACAAAAATAGAGGCTGGGCATGGTGGCTCAGGCCTGTAATCCCACCACTTTGCGGACTGAAGCGGGCAGATCACTTGTGGTCAGTCAGGAGTTCCTGACCAACCTGGCCAACATGATAAAACCCTGTCTCTACTAAAAACACAAAAATTAGCCAGACGTGATGGCGCATGCCTGTAACCCCAGCTACTCAGGAGGCTGAGGCAGGAGAATCACTTGAACCCAGGAGGTGGAGGTTGCAGTGAGCCAAGATGGCGCCACTGCACTCCAGCCTGTATGACAGAGTAAAATTCCATCTCAAAACAATACATAAAAATAAACAAATGGGGCTATATCAAACTAAAAACTTCTTCACAGCAAAGGAAACAATCAATAAAATGAAAAGGCAACTCACAGAATAGAAAACATATTTTCAAATAATGTATCTGATAATGGAGTTAATATCTAAAATATATAAGGAACTCATACAACTCAAGAACAAGAAAATATATAACCCATTTAAAAATTGGCAAAGGATCTGAATAGACATTTTTCAAAGGAAGACAAGCAAATGACTAACAGGTATGAAAAGATGTTCAACATCACTAATCATCAGAGAAATGGAATTCAATACCACTATGAAACATCCCCTCACACCCATTATGATAACTATTATCAAGAAAGACAAGAGATGGCAAGTGTTGATGAAGATGCAGAGAAAAGAGAACTATCATACACTGTTAGTAGGAATGTAAGTTGGTAGAGCCATTTTGGAAAACAATATGAAGAGTCCTCAAAAAACTAAAAATAGAATTACCATACTATCCAGCAATCACACTTCTGAGTATGTATCCAAGGAAATTAATATCTGGACTTTGAAGAGATATTTGCACTCCCTTGTTCATCACATTATTCACAATAGGCATTACATGGCACAAACCTAAGTGTCTGTCAACAGATGAATAAAGAAAATGTGCTATGTATACAATGGAATATTATTCAGCCAAAAAAACCCTTTCCATTTTTTACAAAATAGATAAATCTGGAGGACATTATGCTAAGTGAAATAAGACAGACACAGAAAGAAAAATACTGTATGATCTCATTTATATGTGGTATCTTACAAAAACAAAAAGGTTAAATTCATATAAGAAGAGAGGAGAGTGGTAGTTTCCAGGGTCAGGAGGGTATGAAAAATGGGGAGATGGTCAAAGGGTAGCAACTTTCAGTTATAAGATGAGTCAGTTCTGGGGATCTAATATTCAGCATGGTGACTATCATTAGTAATACTGTATTTTTTACTTGAAATTTGTTAAAAGAGTACATCTTAAGTGTCCTCACCCCAACCGCCCACACACAAACACACACAATGATAATTACATGTGGTTGTAGATGTGCTTATTAATTTGGTTGTAGTAGTTTTATTTCACAAGGTATACACATACCAAATCATCACATTGTACACCTAGAATATGAGCACATTTTTACTTGGCAATTATACCTCATTGAAGGTGGAAAACAATAAACGCATTTACTGAACAAATTTGCTTCATTTTGTTTTAATTTTTTCATTCATACAAAAGAAAAGATGGTGCTTTTTGATTTTTGAATACATGACATGCTATATGGACAAGATTTAGCGCTTAAACTTGACAGCTGATTAACTCTGTAGTTAAGTTTTGCCCTCTTCAATCATAGATTTAAAAAGATTCATGGTAAATATAAGAGGGGAGCCCATTTGCTCTTTGAAGAGGGCATGCGTGACACTACTCATTTTCAGCCCTATGACAGCTTCCACAGCTAGTCCTAAACCTACACATAATCATGATAACAGTAATAGTAATTATACCACCTTCTTAGATTTGCAAAGCACTTTGCAACTTACAGATTTGGTCATATTTGTTGGCTACCAATCTCACTGGTTTGTTGGGAAAATTTAATAAAACATATTTTTAAAATCTTGCCCAGAGAGACCAACATATGCTAACACTTCTTTTTCTTTTTTTCTTTTCTTTTTTTTTGTGAGACGGAGTCTCGCTCTGTTGCCCAGGCTGGAGTGCAGTGGTGTGATCTTGGCTTACGACAAGCTCTGCCTCCCGGGTTCACGCTGTTCTCCTGCCTCAGCCTCCCAAGTAGCTGGGACTACAGGTGCCTGCCACCAGGCCCGGCTATTTTTTTGTATTCTTAGTAGAGACGGGGTTTCACCATGTTAGCCAGGATGGTCTCGATCTCCTGACCTCGTGATCCACCGGCTTGGGCCTCCCAAAGTGCTGGGATTACAGGTGTGAGGCACCGCACCTGCCCCTAACACTTTATTAATAAATATAAGTACCAGGCCGGGCACGGTGGCTCACGCCTGTAATCCCAGCACTTTGGGAGGCCGAGGCAGGGAGATTACGGGGTCAGGAGTTTGAGACCATCCTGGCTAACACGGTGAAACCGTGTCTCTACTAAAAGTACAAAAATTAGCTGGGTGTGGTGACGGGCGCCTGTAATTCCAGCTACTCAGGAGGCTGAGTCAGGAGAATTGCTTGAACCCAGGAGGCGGAGGTTGCAATGAGCCGAGATAGCACCACTGCACTCCCACCTGGGCGACAAAGCGAAACTCTGTCTCAAAAAAACAATAATAATAAAATAAATATAAGTTCCCTTTTGCTCATTTGAACCTCATTAAGACTATAGGAAGCCAGTAGTTGGAGATAGGTATTATTTTTCCCTCTCAGCTCTACTGCTACCACCCTAGTCCAAGCCAGCATCACAACTTGCCTGGACTACCACAGTAGGTTCCTGTAGTATCTTCCTAATTCCTTCAATCCCTCCCTAAAATCCCTCCTTCACATAGCAGTAATCTATTAAAAACATAAACATGAGGCTGCTGTTCAGAACCAGTTAATGCCTCTCCATAGAACTTAGAATAGAATCCAAGTCTATTGCAGTATCCAACAAGGCCTTCTACTACATAGACCTTGAGAGCTTCCCAGGTCTCCCTCCATGACTCTTCTTCCATCACTCAGTTGGCACTAGCCTCTCTGGGCTTCTTTCCGTCCTTCAGCCCAGGAAGTCCAGTCTACGCTTATCGTCTTTACTGTTGCTTTACCTCTCTGCCTGGAAGGCTTTATTCCCAGATTTTTACTTGCTTGTCTCTTTTTTAATGTTTCATTCCAGCTCAAATGTAGCTTCTCAGAGAGCTGTTCACATAGAGTGGTCACTCTACCTTACTGCTCCCCATCAGGGCATCCTGTTTACATAGTGGATTTTCAACAAATATTTTATTTTTCTTTTGTACACATACCAAAAAAGAAAATCTAGAGAGATTAAGTGGCTTGGTCAAGATTCTAAGTAGTATGCTTTTGTAGAACCCAGGTTTTATACAAACAATAATAATTTTAAAAGCCATGATTAAATAGTGTTGATAGTTGCACAATTCTGTAAATATCATAAAAAGCACTGCATTGTATACTTTAAATGGGTGAATTTTATAGTTTGTGTGTTATATTCTCAATACAGCTATGATTAAATATAATTATGAACTTTATTTTTCTAACTCTACCTTTTAATTTATGTTACATTAATTATTTAATTTAATTTATTGAGGGTACTTAAAACCTATTAAGCTGTCTCTCTATAAACTCAATTCCATTAATTAGACCTCATGGCTCCTCCTTTATGATGGTGCTTATTTGTTGGAGGATTCTCCCTAGGTTTCCTCATTATAAGCCACTTTAGCACACATTCCGCCCTTTGGGAAGAATTTTACATGTTTTGCATATAATGTCTATTGTTACATTGCTCTGTTAGTCTGTTGAAGAAATAGAATTGTATTTTTTTAAATCTCCAAAGGGAGGAGAAGATACTTACTTACCAGGCAACAGTGATACAGCAGGGATCATTTGAGGATAGAACTCATTAATAATCTTACATAAGAAGCTTTATTCTCAACTAGAGTGCACTATCCTTGGTGGCATCCAGCTTGCCAGATTCTGGGTGGTGGTGGCATCTTTACTACGAGGTCCAGACCCGTGTCCTGTCCCATTTCTGAGGTCTATCAATCTCCCTTACTGGATGTCTGTGTTGTTGTCTGCTAAGGAAGAAACTAAGACCCTCCTGAATACTGAAATTCATCTGAGAAAATCCACAGTGATTTGGGTTTTTGTTTTTTTTCTCCGAATCAGCCCTAATTCACATGAGAAATCTGTAGAGCCGCTGAATGTTCATTTTTTTGCAAAATCATTGCTCTGGTTCCACTGCATCTATTTTATTACAAATACATTAGTCCCTTTCCTACTTATCAGCTAGGAAACGGTACTACCATGTAGTTGGCTAAGAGACTGAAATGCTTCCTTTCTTGAAAGAGCAGATTAACTCAGGTCCATTAATCACTTCTTTTTTTTTTTTTTTTTTTTTTCTTTTGAGACAAGAGTCTCGCTCTGTCGCCCAGGCTGGAGTGCAGTGGCGGGATCTCGGCTCACTGCAAGCTCCGCCTCCCGGGTTCACGCCATTCTCCTGCCTCAGCCTCCCAAGTAGCTGGGACTACAGGCGCCCGCCACTACGCCCGGCTAATTTTTTTTTGTATTTTTAGTAGAGACGGGGTTTCACCGTTTTAGCCGGGATGGTCTCGATCTCCTGACCTCGTGATCCGCCCGCCTCGGCCTCCCAAAGTGCTGGGATTACAGGCGTGAGCCACCGCGCCCGGCCCATTAATCACTTCTTAAACAACAGCTACAATAACGAGAAATCAAGTGACAGTTTCAAATGAGAGCTGGTTGCCATAGAGAAAGCTAAACAATAGTGGCTAACTTGTCTATCTACATGTAATGCCATTTTCTAATACTAAGTAAACCTTTCTCTGCCTACACACTTCTGTGCCCCCATCAACCACACACACATTCACAAACACACATACTCACAGAGTAGGTCATACTCTACCACAGGTTTCAACCTCTTATCACGTGTCTACACTGCAATTTCCCACATGGACAAACTGCAATTCTTGTTGCCTTCCAAATGTCGGATGCAGGATGTAAAACATACCACATAACATGCCAAGGTTTGATGTGAGAGTGTGATGACAAAAATATGGGAGGTGCCTTCAGACAGGCCACTGCTTAGTAGCATGTTATTTTGGAAAGGCATGTACTGTCTTTAGCTTCATGTTCTAAATTATTCTCCTAGGGGAGGGATCTTGCATTCAAAATTAGATGGTTCTGTTATGTGACTTACCACTTACGTTTTGAAAGGTAACCCCATTTATAATTCCAATACCATGTAATACCCAAATCAGAGCCCTATAAAACTAATTTCCAAGCTTTTTGATTCTAGATAGAAAGCCTCAGAAATAGAGGGTGATTGAAATATTTCAATAATACCAAATAAAAAATCCACCCGTGCAGTAAGATTCTCGGTAAATAGTTTTCTACTCAAAGTGATATTATTTGATTAGACATTTATGAATTGGTCAAGAGTAAAGAGCTGTCAGGAAGGCACTGAATCAACTGCAGACTCTCCTGAAATGAAAACTAGGGACGCATTTTTCTCTGCTACGGAAAATCTCTTTAGAAGGTTTCTTCCTGGTAAAATGGCCATTTGCTTTATATTTTCCTGTGTTATCCTTTGAAGTCTCCAACTCATGTACCAATGGAATCCTATAATCTCCTTCACTAATTTTCTTTCTTTCAAAATTAACATTTTCTATTTAAGCTCCCCCTTAGTGCTCTTCTCTCCTCTTCTTAGCTGCAGCCCACCTGTGGAGTCTAAAATAACACACACCATATTAACACTCCTCTGCTGAGATTTTGATAACAGACACCTGTGCAGTCTAAGTAGCTCTTGACTTATTTCTTTCAGAATGTGTTAATAATGGTCGCCACATTTATTTTCCTCCAGATGTCAATTAAAAATACCACAAGGGCCAATTTCAGTGAAAACTTGAAAGTGGATTAAACTACCCCCTCTCCTTCACTCCCTCCATATACCATTTTGCCATCTTTCAAATGCGGCAGAGAGCACATCCATCAATCAGAGAGCTGCTGGGCATCCCAGGAGCACACCGCAGGTGGCGAGTTTCACTGCATACACCTTAAAGTGCATCCTCATCTTATTGCTCATGTTAATAAACACTCTGCCATTTTAACAGCAACCACCACTGCATGGAAATATAATGATGTAAATACGACTCAAGTATTCAAACTGGTCCGCAAAGTTGGTATCATAAGATAACAAGGCAAGACTATAATCTGCTCTGCCATTTTTATCCTTCAGAAACAACTTTCTAATCAACATTTCAGCCTTACCAACATTTCTTTTTCTCTGGGTTAATATTTAAAATAGCTAGTCAATTTGTGAGGCATTGGAGCTGTCATTAAAATAAGTGACACTCTGGGCTTTCAAAATCTCTTTGATGCAGCCCACCCTAACCACTAGGGCTGGCTCTACATTAAACATTTCTTTTAAGGGTATATTTTATTTCCTGCAAGCAGCTTTGCACATTTTTTATCCACAAGAGAACAGATCTCTTTTTGCAGGTTAGCTCACAGCCAGAGACTCAATCGATTTTGAAAGCTCATAAGGGAAGAAATCCAGAGAAACAGCTAGGTAGTTAAATCAGGGAGTTACTCTCTTGGTTGTGTTGTTCAACCAACTTCAAGAACTGCCTTCGCTTTTATTCATTCATTTACTCACATGCCCGTATGATAACATGTACCTCCCCTGGCCCCCACCCCCAACAAAAGGTCCTCTAAATATTAAAGGCTATGAAGAGCCACATGAACTGAACACTAAGCTATATAATAGTCACTGGAGGGTCATTTAAAAGCTGCAATAATATGGGATAAGGAAGAGAATGAAATGCTTTCTTTTTTTTGAAGGCCTCTGCCCCTTTTAGAGCAACTGGATTCCATTTAGCAAATGACCGCCTTCTGGAAATAAAGAAAAAATAATAACCCGGGAACAGAAGGATAAATTAAGTATTTTACCCAAGAAATGCTAAGAACTCTGCTTACTTCATGCTGTGTGTAAGAGAGCATGATGCATGCCATTATATTTCTATAGCCCTCCTTATTGTTCTGACAGCATAGTGATTTTTATAATTTGACATTCTATTTTCATCCTAGAGAAGGAGAGCTTCAGAAAGGAACTCTGCTTTTGCTAGAGCTGCTAAATTCAGGAAAGGAACTTCATTGATGTAACTGTTGTGTGTTGCACTTCCTAGGTTTTTTACAGAGCTGACCATTAGAAGAAAATATTTTCTGCAAGGAAAAGGAGCATCCTCTGGGAAAGAACATCACCTACATTTAAGCGAAGTGGTTGAAAACAGCTCTTAGGCAGGTAGGGTCAAATCCATTTTGTGACAAGCAGTTCATTGATGCTAAGTGTAGAATCAGCATAGAATAAGGATTGGTTAACTTTTAAAGATACTTTTATTCTATTACAAAGTTTGTACTCTAGGTTAGCCATTTTGGAAACCTGCAGTGTTCGTAGGCCACAGTCATCTCGTAGGAATCACTCTGCAGCCTTCTCACTGGGACACTTTAATCCAGCCTTGTGCCTCCCCAATCCTGTCTGCATACTGCAGACAGTAATTCTTCCAAGACACCAAGCTGATCAAACCAATCTTCTGTCAAAAACCCATGGGAAGCTTCACAAAGGGCTGAGGTTAAAGTCCACATTCTTTAGCATATTACACCTGTAGCTTCCGAAAGTATTTTTCTAGTCTTTTCTTTCATCATTCATCAACTTATTTCTAACCACCCCAGCCAAACTGAACTTTGAAGAAGAAAAAGAAGACCAGAAGATAAAAAATTCAATGGACTGACACCGCCTTCCCTGTACATTTGGCCTGGTTATTAACCAGTTACCCTTCAGATCTCGTTTAAAAATCACGAATTACAGAAATGTTGTCCTGATTCTCTTTGATCAGAGTGGACTTGTCTGGGATGCGCTCTCCAGCCCATTATATGCCTATTATTGCTCCTATTCCATTTTAGCCATATTGGATTTGTTTACTTGTTGCTTTCTCCTCTGACTGCAAGTTCCCTTGGGACAAGAATTGTATTCCTTTCTCTCATCATATCTTCAGTGCCCAGCACAGAAGATGGTAATTGAACAAATGAATGAAGAAATGAATGAATGAATTCTAGTGGCAGAAAAGTTGAGAAAATAGATGGAAATTACTAGAGTGTTGCAGCATGGAAGGATTGACTGAACAGGAGAAAAATTACTGTCTCCCTAAGTCGGATCAATTCAAGCACCACAGAATGCATTTCATCCGCAATATTCAGCCTTGGTTTCCTTACTCTGACTATAATTCCCAAAGATTTCTGACATGTAAAATCCTGCAATTAGACATTCACTGATGGATTTAAGGCCCTATCTTCTGTGAAATGCCCATGGGAGGTAATACTCCACATACTATAAATACATCCAAACATTCCTGGGAATAGTTCTGAGAAAGGGAGAATTACTTCACCTTGTGTCTGAAGGCAGCAGGGAAGACTGAGAAGGTCCTGCTTTCCAAGAGCCATAAATGAAAGCTGAAGACAAAGGGAAAAATTAGCTCACATTCTGAAAAAAAAGTGGCTTTTCTTCCCAACATGACTGCAAAGAATCATTAAGCTCTAAAAAGAGCAGATATTTTAGAACCCTTTCCTGACTTCCTCTTCTACATTATCTTCCACTACTCTAAGATCAAATTTCCAATTTCATGAAAAGAGACCCGAGGAAAACATTATCAATTACTCATTTCCACCCAATATTCCATGATCCGAAAAGTCCATCAACTCTCCCATGGATTCTCAATTCCTTCAACAAATACTTACTGAAGACCTGCTACATGCCAGGCATTCTACCTCGCTAAAAATTCAACATTAAACTTTTGTTTTCTCCCTTCCAGCCTCATGGAGCTTATTCTCTAGTAGAATTCTTCTGGGAAATAAAATTGATACTGGTTGAACAGTTATTGAATAAATACTTTAATACGTGATTGAACAAATAAACTGCTACTATTCAAGGATAACAAAAACAGGAGTATTCTTGTTTCTTCTCCTGGATTTCTATAGAACAGCATAATGCCATGCTTAAGAATTTGGGCCTAAGACAAACCTGGGTTTCAGTTCTAGTTCCTCCACTTACTGGCTGGGTGAACTTGAGCAACTTTCTTTATTTCTCTTTCCCACTGTACAACAGATATAACTTAATCGAAATTAGCCTCAAATTTGTTGTTGGGGATTAAAGAATATACAAGAAAAAAAGAATCTGGCACGTGAGAGGAGAATATGACAATATTAGCTATTATTTCTTCCTTCTAAGTTTCTTTCCTGAATTGGCAAAATGAAAGTTCATTATGATCAGTGACTTTTACTTTTAATAAGAAGACACTTATGTAGTCATAAGGAGTGAAAATTTATTATTCCCAATGCTTAAATCTGACACTCAAAGCAAACCACACTGACTCCTTCTGCCTTCCTGTTGACAGCACCCTATTAAACAGAAATGCTCCCATCAGGGGGGATGAGACAAATCTGCCCAATTTCTGAAGTATGCCACTTCCCCAGCATGCCTGGTAGGGATTTACAATGCTCTAGAAATAGCAAACAGGGCATAAACGTCCTTGGAAGATGACTGCATAAGCAGCAATACGACTTGTGCTAAGTGAGAATTCTATCACAGGGAAAGCACAAAAATATGTCTGATACACACATCCCAGACACTCCTCCAATTACATAATTATTTATCTTAAACCAAATTCACCACTTTCTTTAGAAGGATACTTTTTTTTTTTTTACTATTTTACAACGGGGAAATATATATACACACACACAAACAGATATGTATATGTGTGTATACACATATATATTCTCTGAAAATACATATATTTTCTCTGAAAAAATAATATATATATATTTCTTCCCCTTAAATATGATCTCAGAAGACAAATAAACTTTATTTCTAGTGATGAAAGGGCTTCAGAGAAGTTTGTTCTATTTGTGATGCATAAAATTTGTCTTTAGAACAGCTATATGAAGACTACATCTCAAAAAAACAAACAAAACAAAAAAGAACAGCTATATGAGCCTGACCAAAGCTTTTCATAAATTTTCATCTTCCTAGAATCACTTGTCTTTCTCAAAATACAGGTAAGCCAGTGGGGGAAAAAAAAGTTTACTTTAAAATATGATTGACTTATATTTCCCTGAGAACCATTAGATTCATTTACATAGTTTCTTATTTTTATGTCTATTTAGTATTTATTTTCTACTATATATATTGCATAGAGAGCATTTTTTACTAAATCTAAGAACCTAAAGTTATTTCCTCCCTTCATCCAATATCCAAGGATCTTCCTAGAAAAGTTATCTAAAACTCTGTAGTTAAAATAATTTAATCTGTTAAGAGAGGCACAAAGTCAACTTTTGTTTTACAGATGAGATAGAAGTTACACCTAAATTTCTCTAATGTGTTTATAAAACAAATGAGCAATGAGTTCATAGTTTTCTGCCTCTAGTCCTGCATCTTGAAATGTTGGTATTTTATGGAATTTAACTTGTGGTAAAATTGTAAACGTCTTTTAAAAATTATTTTACTTTTTAATACTTGTCTTAATATTTATGAAATCTTATTTCAGCCTCAGTGCTACAACTTTTTAGCAGCATTTTTTGTTGTCAAAGTGTCCTTTTTAAAAATTAACACAAATGCTCTATTCAGGAAGACTTATTGAGACTCCTCTGTGTTGCCCTACTAGGCAAGCCAACCCACTTCACAGCTTGTCCTAGTAGGTGATGCTAGGTAGTAGATGAAAGCATTTGCTTTCAGCTGCTAAAATCCAACAACTTATAAGGTATGTTCTTTTTTTTTTTTTTTTTTTTAATGGAGTTTTGCTCTTTTTGCACAGGCTGGAGTGCAGTGGTACCACCTTGGCTCACTGCAACCTCCACCACCTGGGTTCAAGCGATTCTCCTGCCTCAGCCTCCAGAGTAGCTGGGATTACAGGTGCCTGCCACCATGCTTGGCTAATTTTTGTACTTTTAGTAGAGATGGGGTTTCGCCATGTTGGCCAAGCTGGTCTTGAACTCCTGAACTTAGGTGATCCGCCCGCCTCGGACTCTCAAAGTGTTGGGATTACAGGAGTGAGCCACTGCTACCAACCTTATAAGGTATTTTCCTGAGGCTTCCTGGGTATTACTTTATGGTTTTTTCATTGTTCATATTGCAACATTAATATCAACCAACTTTGTCTTTTTTTTCTTTCCATGAAATAAGCATAAATCAGAGCAATAACACTTGGCAAAAGAGGATACTATTAAATAATTTATAATCGATTGTGTTGGGTTCTTAGGAAGTAGAACATGCCCAAACGCTTGATTTATCTCAATAGTTGAGATGAATCCAAGGGTCTTCCTAGGTTAGAAAGATTAGCAGGAGAGATGTTAAAGGGGGAACACCTGCCCCCAAAAGTAGACCTTCACTGTGGAACCTGAAAGTTCAGATCACAAGAGAAGGATTTGACCTTACCTGGAGCTGAGACAAATTTGGAGAGCTGAGTGAAATACAGGGATAGAAGAAGCAGCAAGAAGAGCCCTGTGGGCTCTCTCGGTCCCCAGGGAATCAATTTCTGACTTTGTCTTGAAGAGGTCCTTGGGGATGGCTGTCAGAGGAACTGGGAAAAGACCACAGGGAGAAGGGAACTTCCAGCTGTACTGCGTAATAATTTCAACTGAATGCAAAGTTTCCTGGACAGAACTCAGGGGAGGGGGTGAATTGGGAGTGCAGACACAGCACAGAAGCTGTAGGAGGTGGGGCAGCAGGCGGGGAGGCAGGAAGCCTAAAAGCCCTGCTTGCTTTCTCAGCCTTGCTCACCTGTTGCCTAGAAACAAACCTGGTCCTGTTGTGGGGGCACAGTGGGAGTAAGACTGGCCTTTTGGGCTGCTTTGGGGGAGCTGTGTAAGGCCTGTAACTGCCAGCTTTCCCCAACTTCCCTGGCAACCTGCATGACACACTAGTGGAAGCCATAATCCCCCTGGGAAGGTAACTCTAATTGGCCTGAGAACCACACTCCCATCTCCCACAGCAGTAGCAGCAAGTCCCATCCAAGGAGAGTCTGAGCTCAGACACCTAACCCTGCCCCCACTTGCTGGTCTTTCTCTAGCTACCACCTGATCATCCCTATACTTCCGCAGCAGCTGATTCTCTCTTGAAAGTGCCACCTCCTGGCAGTTCCCCAAGCAACACAAAACTAGTGCAATTAACAAAACTGCAACCAAGGATCTTCACTCCCCTGCCACCTCCACCAGCACAGGTGCTGCTATCCATGGCTGACAGACATGAAAACAGTTTACACTACAGGACTCTGTGCAGACACCCTTCAGTACCGACCCCAAGTCTGGCAGCTCTGCTGGGTGGCTAGATCCAGGAGACAAATAACAATCACTGCAGTTTGGCTCTCAGGAAGCCACATCCCTAGGAGAAGGGGGAGAGCACTACATCAAGGGAGCAAGCAGTCCAAATGTAGGGAGCACTACATCAAGGGAGACTAAAGAATCTGAACAGCAGCCTTGAGCCCCAAATTTTCCCTCTAACATAGTCTACCAGAAAAGGAACCAGAAAAACAATTCAGGCAATATGACAAAACAAGGTTATTTAATGCCCCCAAGAAACCACACTAGCTCACCAGCAATGGATCCAAACCAAGAAGAAATCCCCGAATTGACAGAAAAAGAATTCAGGAGGTTGATTATTAAGCCAGGCAAGGAGGCACCAGAGAATGGTGAAGTCCAATTTAAGAAAATCAAAAAAAGATACACGATATGAAGGGACAAATCTTCAGTGAAATAGACAGCATAAATCAAAAACAATCACAACTTCTGGAAATGAAGGACACACTTAGAGAAATGAAAAATGCACAGGAAAGTCTCAGCAATAGAATCAAACAAGCGGAAGAAAGAACTTCAGAGCTCCAAGAAAAGGTTTTCAAATTAACCCAATCCAGCAAAAACAAGGAAGGAAGACTTTTTTGGGCTGAGTGCAGTGGCTTACACCTGTAATCCCAGCACTTTGGGAGGCTGAGGCGAGTGGATCACAAGGTCAAGAGATCAGGACCATCCTGACTAACATGGTGAAACCCCATCTCTACTAAAAATACAAAAAATTAGCCGGGCATGGTGGCACGTGCCTGTAGTCTCAGCTACTCAGGAGGCTGAGGCAGGATAATCACTTGAACCCGGGAGGCAGAGGCTGCAGGGAGCCGACCGAGATCATGCCACTGCGCACTAGCCTGGGTGACACAGCAAGAGTCTGTCTCAAAAAAAAAAAGAAAAAAAAAGAATTTTTTAAATGAACAAAGCCTCCAAGAAATTTGGGATTATGTTAAACAACGAAAACTAAGAATAATCTCTGAGGAAGGAAATAAATCTAAAAGTTTGGAAAACATATTTGAGAGAATAAATGAGGAAAACTTCCCTGGTTTTGCTAGAGATCTAGGCATCCAAATACAAGAAGCTCAAAAAACACCTGGAAAGTTTATCACCAAAAGATCATCACCGAGGCACATAATCATCAGGTTATCTGAAGTTGAGATGAAGGAAAGAATCCTAAAAGCTATGAGGCAAAAGCACCAGGTAACCTATAAAGGAAAACCTATCAGAATAACAGCAGATTTTTCAGCAGAAACCCTACAAGCTAGAGTGTTTGGGGCCCTATCTTTAGCCTCCTTAAACAAAAGAATTATCAGCCAATAATTTTGTATTCAGCAAAACTAAGCTTCATAAATGAAGGAAAGATACAATTGTTTTCAGACAAATTCTGAGAGAATTCACCACTACCAAGCCAGCACTAAAAGAACTGCTAAAAGGAGCTCTAAATCTTGAAACAAATCCTCAAAAAACACCAAAATAGAACCTCCCTTAAATCTCACAAGACCTATAAAACAAAGATGAAATAAATATAAAAAAGCAAGGTATTCATCCCACAAATAGCACAATGACTAGAATAGTACTTCACATCTCAATACTAACATTGAATGTAAATAGTCTAAATGCTCCACTTAGAAACAGAATGGCAGAATGGATAATAATTCACTAACCAAGTATCTGCTGTCTTCAAGAGACTCACCTAACACATAAGGGCTCACATAAACTTAAGGTAAAGGACTGGAGAAAGATATTTCATGCAAATGGACACCAAAAGTGAGCAGGGGTAGCTATTCCTATATCAGAAAAAAACTTAAAACAACAGCAGTTAAAAAAGACAAAGACAGGCATTATATGATGATAAAACAACTTGTCCAATAAGAAAATATCACAATCCTAAATATATATATGCACCTAACACTGGGGTTATCAAATTTATAAAATAATTACTATTAGACCTAGGAAATTAAATAGACACCAACAGAATAATAGTGAGGGACTTCAGTACTCCACTGACAGCACTAAAAAGGTCATCAAGACAGAAAATCAACAAAAAAAAAAATAGATTTAAACTACACCCTGGAACAAATGGACTTAACAGATATTTACAGAACATTCTACACAACAACTTCAGAATATACATTCTATTCATCAGCATATGGAAAATTTTCCATGATAGACCATGATAGGCCATGAAACAAGTATCAAAAAATTTAATAAAACTGAAATTATATCAAGTACTTTCTCAGACCACAGTGAAATAAAATTGGAAATCAATTCTAAAAGGAACTCTCAAAACCATGCAAATTCATGGGAATTAAATAAACTGCTTCTTAATGATTTTTGGGTCAACTGTGAAATCAAGATGGGAATTTTAAAAATTCTTTGAATGGAGGCTGGGCACGGTGGCTCACACCTGTAATCCCAGCACTTTGGGAGGCCGAGGTGGGCAGATCTCCTGAGGTCAGGAGTTCAAGATCAGCCTGACCAACATGGAGAAACCCTGTCTCTACTAAAAATACAAAATTAGCTAGGCGTGGTGGCACATGCCTGTAATCCCAGCTGCTCGGGAGGCTGAGGCAGGAGAATCACTTGAACCTGGGAGGTGGAGGTTGCAGTGAGCCGAGATCATGCCATTGCCACTCCAGCCTGGGCAACAAGAGGAAAACTCCATCTCAAAAAAAACCATTATTTGAATGGAATGATAATAGTGATACAACCTATCAAAACGTCTGGGATACAGCAAAGGTGGTGCTGAGAGGAAAGTTCATAGTCTGAGAGAGCACCAATAGACAATTTAAGGTCACATGTCAAGGAACTACAGAAAGAACAAATGAAACCCAAACCCAGCAGAAAAAAAGAAATAACAGAAATTAGAGGAACTAAATGAAATTGAAACAAAAAATACAAAAGATAAATGAAACAAAAAGCTGGTTCTTCTAAAAGAAATGTAAAATTAATAGACCATTAGTGAGATTAACCAAGAAAAGAGAAGATCCAAGTAAGTTCAATTAGAAATGAAATAGTAGGTACTACAACCAATACCACAGAAATACAAAAGATCATTCAAGACTACTATGAACACCTTTACATGCATACAGTTGAAAATCTAGAGGAGATGGATGAATTTCTGAAAATATACAACCCTCCTAGATTAAACCAAAAAATAAATAGAAACTCTGAACAGACCTATATCAAGCAGAGAGAATGAAATGTTAATTAACAAATTGATACAAAAAGGTCCAAGACCAGACAGATTCACAACTGAATTATAGCAGACATTTAAAAAAGAATTGGTATCAATCCTATTGATACCATTCCACAGCATAAAGAGGGAATCCTCCCTAAATCATTATATTAAGCCAGTATCACCCTAATACCAAAACCAGAAAAGGACATAACAAAAAGAAAACTACAGACCAATATCCCTGATGAATATAGATGCAAAAATTTTTAACAAAATATTAGCTAGCCAAATCCCACAGCATATCCAAAAGGCAATCCAACATGATCAAATGAGATTCATACCAGGTATACAGGGATGGTTTAACACTTGCAAGTCAATAAGTGTGATACATCACATAAACAGAATTAAAAACAAAACATCACATGATCATCTCAATAGATGCAGAAAAATCATTTGACATAATCCAGCATTATGATTAAAACCCTCAGCAAAATCTGCATAGAAGGGACATTCCTTAATGCAATAAAAGTCATCTATGAGAAACCCACAGGCAACATTATATTGAATAAGGAGAAGTTGAAACCATTCCCCCTGAACTGGAATAAGACAAGGATATCCACTCTCACCACTTCTATTTAACATAGTACTGGAATTCTGAGCCAAAGCAATCAGACAAGAGAAGGAAATAAGGGGCATCCAAATCAGTAAAGGGGAAGCCAAACTGTTGCTGTTTGCTGATGATGTAATTGTATACCTAGAAAACCCTAAAGACTCCCCCAAAAAGCCCCTAGAACTGATAAATGAATTCAGCAAAGCTTCAGGATACAGAATTAATGTACATGAATTAGTAGCTCTGCTATACACCATCAATGACCAAGCTGAGAATCAAATCAAGAACTCAACCCCTTTTACAACAGCTCCAAAAATAAAGTAAAATACTTAGGAATATACCTAAACAAGGAAATAAAAAACCTCTACAAGGAAAACTACAAAACACTGCTGAAAGAAATAATAGATGGCACAAACAAGTTGAAACACGTCCTATGCTCATGGATGAGTCGAATCAGTATTGTGAAAAAGATCATACTTTCAAAAACAATCTACAAATTCAATGCAATTCCTATCAAAATACCACCATTATTCTTCACAGAACTAGAAAAAAAATCCTAAAATTCATATGGAACCAAAAAAGAGCCCATATAGCCAAAGCAAGACTAAGCAAAAAGAACAAATTTTTGGAAGCATCACATTACCCAACTTCAAATTATACTATAAGGCCATAGTCACCAAAACAGCATGATACTGGTATAAAAATAGGCACATAGACCAATGGAACAGAATAGAGAACCCAGAAATAAAACCAAATACTTACAGCCAATTGATCTTTGACAAAGCAAATGTGGGGAATGGACACCCTATTCAACAAATGGTGCTGGGATAATTGGCAAGCCACATGTAGAAGAATGACACTGGATCCTCATCTCCCACCTTACACAAAAATCAACTCAAGATGGGTCAAGGACTTAAATCTAAGACCTGAAACCATAAAAATTCTAGAAGATAATGTCAAAAAAACCCTTCTAGATATTGGCTTAGGCAAATACTACATGACCAAGAACCCAAAGGCAAATGCAACAAAAACAAAGATAAATAGAGGGGACATAATTAAACCCTAAAGTTTCCGCACAGCAAAAGGAACAGTCAGCAGAGTAAACAGACAATCCACAGAGTGGGAGAAAATCTTTGCAATCTATACACCCAATAAAGGACTAATATCTGGAATCTACAAAAAACTCAAACAAATCCACAAGCAAAAAACAAACAATTCCAACAAACAGTGGGCTAAGGACATGAATAGAAAATTCTCAAAAGAAGATATACAAATGGCCAACAAACATAGGAAAAAATGCTCAGTGTCACTAATGATCAGAGAAATGCAAATCAAAACCACTATGCAATATCACCTTACTCCTGCAGGAATGGCCATAATAAAAAAAAATAGATTTTGGCAGGGAAGTGGCAAAAATGGGACACTTTTACACTGCTGATGGTATGGTAAACTAGTACAATAACTATGGAAAAACAGTGTAGAGATTCCTTAAAGAACTAAACGTAGAAATCCATTTGATCCAGCAATCCCACCTCTGGGTATTTACCCAAAGGAAAAGAAGTCATTATATAAAAAAGATACTTGCACATGCATGTTTATAGCAACACAATTTGCAATTGCAAAAATATGGAACCAGCCAAAATGTCCATCAATCAGTGAATGGATAAAGACATTGTGATATATATATATATATATATATGCATGAAATACTACTCGGCCATAAAAAGGAATGAAATAATGACTTTCACAGCAACCTGGATGGAATTGGAGACCATTATTCTAAGTGAACTAATTGAGGAATGGAAAACCAAACACTGTGTGTTCTCACTCATAAGTGGGAGCTAAGCTATGAGGATGCAAAGGCGTAAGAATGATACAATGGACTTTGAGGACATGGGGGAAAGGGTGGGAGGCAGGTGAGAGAAAAATGACTACACATTGGGTACAGTGTATACTGCTTAGGTGATGGGTACACCAAAAATCTCAGAAATCACCACTAACTTATTTGTATAACCAATCATCACGTGTTCCCCAAAAACCTATTGAAATGAAGGAAAGACTAAATGAATAAATTACATGAAATGAAGGTAAATAGGATAGGAGTATATAAATAAACTTTCCACAGTTTCAAAATTTTTTTCAGTAACTAAATCTTAAAGTTATGTTATGATAAATTAAGTAATAGGTAATCATAAGATGTCTGAATTATTTATATGCCACAGAAAAGTAAAATATGTTCATATTTGTTAATAAAATAATTGAAGAAACATCTTTCAAAAAAATGAAGAAAGCTTACAGGTTTTATTGAACAGCATCAAAAGTATCGAAAGTTTGAGTTGTAAGAGTTTGTAAAAAAGAAGAAAGACAAAGGAGTAGAAAGCTTATTTAAAGAAATAATAGAAAACTTTCCAAATTTGGATAAATATATAAAATCCAAGTACAACAAGACCAAAGTCTTCAATCAGATTTAATCTACACAAGATGACACAGACATATTATTACCAAACTTTCAAAAATCAAGGGAAAAGAGAGGATCTTAGATGTAACAAGAGACAAGAAGTAGATTACAAATAAGAAATTTCCAAAAAGGCTAAGAGTGGGCTTCTCAGCAGAAACCTTATAGGTCAGGAGAAAGTGGGATGACATATTTACTGAAAGTGCTGAAGGAAAAAAAAAAAACTGCCTATAAAGAAAACTGTACCCAGCAAAGTCATATTTCAGAAATGAAGAAGTGATAAAGACTTTGTCAGTCAAACATAAGCTGAGGATGTGTTCATCCCCACTCATCTTACAAAAAAAAATGCTAAAGGAAGTTCAAGCTTGAAGGACACTATGTAGCAATACAAAAACATTTGAAAGTATAGGCTGGCATGGCTGCTCATGCCTGTAAATGCAGCACTTTGGGAGGCCACGATAGGCAGATTGCTTGAGGTCAGGAGTCTGAGACTAGCCTGGCCAACATGGTGAAACCCCATCTCTACAAAAATAAACACACACACACACACACACAGAAAAAATATTAGCCAGGTGTGGTGGCGTGAGCCTGTAGTTCCAGCTACTCAGGTGGCTGAGGTACTAGAATTGCTTGAACCCAGGAGGCAGAGGTTGTAGTGAGCCGAGATCATGCTACTACACTCCAGCTTGGGCAACAGGGCAAGACCCTGTCATAGAACAAACAAACAAACAAATAAAAAACACCAAAACACTTGAAAGTATAAAACTCACTGGCAACAGAAAGTACACAGTCAAATTCAGAATACTTTAATATTGTATTGGTGTTATATGAATCACTTATATTTTTAATATAAAAGTTAAAGACAATATATTAAAAATAACTACAATAATTGCTTAAGGGACACATAATATACAAATACTTAAATTGTGATATCAAAATTTTTAAATGTGTAGTGGTGGTAGAATAAAAGTGTAGAGATTTTCATGCAATCAAATTTAAGTTATTAAAATAGTCTATTATAACTATAAGATGTTTTCTGTAAGCCTCATAATAACTAAAAATTAAAAACCTTTAATGGATACATGAAAGATAAAAAGTAAAGAATCAAAACATACAGTTAGAGAAAATTAATTACTCATAAAAGAAGACAGTAAAACAGAGAGAAAGGAATAAAAAATCTCCAAAGTGACCAAATAGCAATTAACAAAATGACAACAGTAAGGCCTTGACTGTAAATCATTACCTATAATGTAAATAAATTAAATTCTCCCACAAAAAGACACAAAATGGCTGAGTGGATAAAAAGATGCAGCTCCATGCTGCCTATAACAGACTAACTTCACTTTTAGGAACACACACATATTGAAAATGAAAGGGTGGAAAAGATACCATTCTATGCAAATAGAAAGCAGAAGAGATTAGGGGTAGCTATACTCATATCAGATAAAATAGACTAAGTCAAAACTGGAAAATGAGACAAAGAAGGTCATTAGATAATAATAAAGGGGTCAATTAATCAAAAGGAAAAATTACATATGCTCCCAACATTGGAGTACCTAAAATATGTAAAGAAATATTAATAGATCTGAAAGAAGATATAGACTGTAATACAATAACATTAGAGGAATTCAAAATCCCACTTTTGACAATGGACAGATTATCCAGACAGAAAATTTATAAAGAAACATTGAACTTCAACTTGATATGGTTTGGTTCTGTGTCTTCAGCAAATCTCATGTCAAATTATAATCCCCAATATAGGCACTGTTTGGGGTGGTTGGATCATGGGAGTGTATTTCTCAAGAATGGTTTACACATGAATGGTTTAGCACCATCTCCTTGGTGCTGTTCTTGTGCTAGTAAGTTCTTGAAAGATCTGGTTGTTTAAAGGTGTGCAGCCCTTCCCCCATCACTCTCTCTTGCTTCTGCTCCCACTACATAAGATGCCTCACTCCCCCTTTGCCTTCCACCATGATTGGAAGCTTTCTGAGGCTTCCCCAGAAACAGAAGCCACTATGCTTCCTGTACAGCCTGAATAATCATGAGCCAATTAAACCTTTTCTATAAATTATCCAGTCTCAGGTGTTTCTTTATAGCAATGCAATAATGGACTAATACAGAAAATTGGTACCTAGGAGTGGGCACTGCTATGAAGATAACTGAACACGTAGAAGCAACTTTGGAACTGGGTAATAGGCAGAGTGTGGAGGGTTTCAGAGGAAGACATAAAGATGAGGGAAAGTTTGGAACTTTCTAGATACTGGTTGAATGATTATGACCAAAATGCTCATAGTGATATGGACAGTGAAGGCCAGGCTGCAGAGGTCTCAGATGGAAATGAGGAACTTATTGTGAACTGGAGTAAAGGTCACTTTTATTATGCCTTAACAAATAACCTGGCTGCATTGTGCCCTGCTCTAGTGATCTGTGGAAATTTGGACTTGGTAGTGATGATTTAGGGTTTCTGGTGGAAGAAATTTCTAAGCAGCAATGCATTCAAGAGGTGGACTGGCTGCTTCTAACAACATGTGCTCATATGCCTGAGCAGAGAAATGATCTAATGTAGGCACTTATATTTAAAGGGGGAGCCAAGCATACAAGTTTGGAAAATTTGCAGCCTGGTGACGCGGTAGAAAAGAAAAGCTCGTTTTCAGGGTAGGATGTCAAGTGGTCTGTAGAAATTTGCATAAGTAAAAAGGACCCAAGTGCTAATGGTCAAGACAATGAGGAAAAGGCCTTAAGGCATTTCAGAGACATTTGGGGCAGCCCCTCCCATCATAGGCTCAGAGGTCTAGGAGGACAGAATGGTTTTCTGGGCTGAGTCCAGGGCCCCGCTACCCTGCACAGCCTTGGGACACTGCTTCCTGCATCCCAGCCACTTCAGCTCCAGCGTTGGCTAAGAGGGGCCCAGGTACAGCTCAGAATGCTGCTTCAGAGGGTGCAAGCTCTTAGCCTTGGCAGCTTCCCCGTGGTGTTAGGCATGTGGGTGGGCAGAATGCAAGAGTTGAGGCTTGGGAGCCTCTGCTTAGATTTCAGAGGATGTATGGAAAAGTCTGGGTGTCCAGGCAAAAACTATTTGCAGGGGTGGAGCCCTCATGGAGAACGTGTACTTAGGGCAGTGCAGAGGGGGAATGTGGGGTTGGAGCCCCACAGAGTCCCCACTGGTGAACTGCCTAGTGGAGCTGTGAGAAGAGGGCCACCATCCTCTAGACCCCAAAATGGTAAATCTACCAGAAGTTTGTACCCTTAGCCTGGAAAAGCCACAGGTACTCAATGTCAGCATGTGACAGAAGCCATGGGGGCTGAGCCCTGCAAAGCCACAGAGGCAGAGCTGCCCACAGTCTTCAGAGCCCAACTCTTGCATCAGTGTGCCTTGAATGTGAAACATGGAGTCAAAGGAGATTATTTTGGAGTTTTAAGATGTAATGACTGCTCTGCTGGGTTTCAGACTTGCATGGGGCCTATATCCCCTTTCTTTTTTCTTTTTCTTTTTTGAGACAGAGTTTCACTCTTCTTGCCCCAGCTGGAGTGCAATGGTGCGATCTTGGCTCACTGCCACCTCCGCCTCCCAGGTTCAAGTGATTCTCCTGCCTCAGCTTCCTGAGCAGCTGGGATTACAGGCACATGCCACCACACCCAGCTAATTTTTGTATTTTTAGTAAAGATGGGGTTTCACCACGTTGGCCAGTCTGGTCTCAAACTTCTGACCTCAGGTAATCTGCCCTTCTTTGCCTCCCAAAATGCTGGGATTACAGGCATGAGCCACAGCACTTGGCCTATATCCCCTTTCTTTTGGCTGATTTCTCCCTTTGGAATGGGAGTATTTACCAAATGCCTATATTTTCATTGTATCTTGGAGGTAACTAACTTGTTTTTGATTTTACAGGTCCATAGGCAAAAGGGACTAACCTTGTCTCAGAAGAGACTTTGGACTTGGACTTTTGAATTCATGCTAGAATGAGTTAAGACTTTGGGGGATTACTGAGAAGGGATTATTGTATTTGAGAAGGGCATGAGATTTGGGAGGCCAGGGGTGGAATAATACGGTTTGAATTTGTGTCCCCACTAAGTCTCATGTTGAATTGTGGTCCCCAATGTTGGGAGATGGGGACTGGTGGGAGGTGGTTGGATCTTGGGGGTGGATTTCTCCTGAATGGTTTAGCGCTATCCCCTTGGTGCTGTTCTCAGTGTAGTGAGTGAATTCTCATGAGATCTGGTTGTTTAACAGTGTGCTCCTTCCCCCTTGTTCTCTCTTGCTTCTGCTCCTGCCATTTGAAATGCTTGCTCCCCCTTTGCCTTCCACCATTATTGGAAGCTTCCTGAAGCTTCCCCAGAAGCAGAAGCTTCTATGCTTTCTGTACAGCCTGCAGAACAGTGAGTCAATTAGACCTATTTTTTAAAAATTACCCACTCTCAGGTGTTTCTTTATACCAGTGTGAGAATGGATTAATACAACCTACACTTTAGACTAAATGGTTACCCATTTAGTCTAAGACATATATAGAACATTCCATCCAACAACAGCAGAATACATGTTCCTCCCAAAATGCTGGGATTACAGGCATGAGCCACAGCACTTGGCCTATATCCCCTTTCTTTTGGCTGATTTCTCCCTTTGGAATGGGAGTATTTACCAAATGCCTATATTTTCATTGTATCTTGGAGGTAACTAACTTGTTTTTGATTTTACAGGTCCATAGGCAAAGGGACTAACCTTGTCTCAGAAGAGACTTTGGACTTGGACTTTTGAATTAATGCTAGAATGAGTTAAGACTTCGGGGGATTACTCCATGTTCAAGTGTACATGGAACATTCTCCAGAACAGGTCATGTATTAGGCCACAAAACAAGTTACAACAAACTTAAGAAGATTGAAATTATATCTCATATCTTTTCTCACTACAAAGGTATAAAACTATAAATCAATAATAGGAAGAGTTTAGAAAATTCACAAGTACATGGAACTTAAACAATCTGCTTTAGAATGATCAATGTGTCATTGTACTCAATGGTGAAAGTTAAAAGCTTTCCCCCTAAAAGAGAAAAAGACAAGAATGATTTCTCTCAGCAATTTCATTCAACATGATACTGGTAGTCCTAACCAGAGCAATTGGGCAAGAAAAAGAAATAAAAGGCATCCAAATTGGAAATGAATGATTAAATTTTCCCATATAATCTTATATATAGAACACCCTAAATATTTTGTGAAAACCTATTAGAATAAACAAATCCAGTAAAGTTGCAGAATATGAAATCAAGATATATAAATCAGTAGCATGTCTATAGATTAAAAACAAAATATCTGAAAAAGAGACAAAAAAAATCTCATTTATGATAGCTACAAATAAAGTAAAATAGGGCTAAATTTAACCAAGGTGGGGAGTGCCCTGTATACTCAAAATTATGAAACATTGAAGAAAAAAACTGTAGAAGACACTAATAAATGGAATGATATTGTGTTCATGGTTTCGAGGAATGAATATTGTTAAATGTCCATACTGCACAAAGTTACCTACAGAGTCAGCGTACTCTCTATCAAAATTCCATGACATTTTTCACAGAAATAGAAAAAAAATTCCAAAGTGTGTATGAAATCATAGAAGATTTTGAAAAGCCAAAGAAACATTGAACAAAAAGAACAAAACTGGAGGCATCACACAACCTACTTCCAAATATACCACAAAGTTATAGTAAAAACCCTTTGTAGCATGAAACAAAAAAAGTTATAGTAAAAACCATTTATATCACAAAACAGATACATAGACCAATGGAATAGAACAAATAGAAATAAATCCACATATTTATAGTCAACTGATTTTCAACGAAGTTTCCAAGAACACACAATAGGGAATAGACAATCTCTTCAATAAATGGTGTTGGAAAAACTAGATATGCACAGGCAAAAAAATAAAATTACATCTTTATCTCACATTGTATACAAAAATCAACTTCAAATGAATTAAAGACTTAAATGTAAGAAACTAAACTCTAAAAGCTCTATTCATGACATGGGTCTAGGCAATGAATTTTTTATATGAACCCAAAGGCACAGGCAACAAAAGCAAAAATAAACAAATGGAATGACATCAAACTAAGAAGTTTTTGTACAGCCAAGGAAACAGTCAACAGAGTGAAGAGACAACCTATGAAATGGGGTAAAATATTTACAAACCATGCAGCTGATAGGGGTTAATATCTAAAATATACAAGGAACTTGAATGACTATTACCAGATTTTTAAACTGGGCAAGGAAGCTGAATAGACATTTATTAAAGGAAGACATACATATGGTCAATAGGCATATTAAAAATGATCAACATCACTATTCATGACAGAAATGAAAATCAAAACACAATGAAATATTACCTGACATCTGTTCCAATGACTATGATAAAATGATGAATGATAACGATTGTTGGTGAGAATGTGGAGAAAAGGGAACCCTTGAACACTGTTGGTGGGAATGTAAATTAATATAGTAATTATGGAAAGCAGTATGGAGATTCCACAAAAATTAAAAAAAACTAGTATATGATTGAGCAATTCCACCGCTAGATGTATATCTATAGGAAAGTAAATCAATATATTGAGGAGATACCTGCATTCCCATGTTTATCGCAGCATTATTCACAATAGCCAAGATACAGAATCAACCTAAGTAGATGAATGGATGAAGAAAATGCGGTATATATACACAATGAACTACTAATTAACTGTAAATAAGAAAAAAAAAAAGTCCTGCCATTTGGGACAAATGGATGAACCTGGAGGACATTATTTTAAGAAATACAATCCAGGTGCAAAAAGTGTAATCTCACTTACAAGTGTAATCTGAAAATGTTGATCTCATAGAAGCAGAAAGTAGAATGGTGGTTAGCATATGCTAGGGTTGAGGGAATATTGAGGAGATACTGGTCAAAGATTCAAAATTTCAATTAGGTAGGAGAAATAAGTTCAGTAAATCTCTTGTACAACATGGTGAATATAGTTGAAAACAATGTACTGTATTCTTGATAATTACTGAGTAGATTTTAAGTGCTCTCCCTACAAAAAATAACTATGTGAGGTAATACATAGTTAATTAGCTTGATCTAGCCATTCCATAATGTATACATATTTCCATGCAACATATAGTACACAATAAATACATACAAATTTTACTTGTCAGTTGAAAACATTGAATACATTAAGACATAGCAAAACATCTGAAAGGAGATCTTAGAATGCAATAATCAGTGAACATGATTCCAAACACAAAAAGTGTTCACAAAAAGTGAACACAAAAAGATATTCATAAAGTTTAAAAAGTCTAATATGTACCAGACAGAGTTCACTGTTGCCAAGGATAATTTGAAATGGGCACATCTATTCCCTTTCAGTAACTGTGTAAATTGTGTAGCATTTCTAGAGAATTGTACTATATCTTAAAATATGCAGGCATATTAATCTAGAAATGTATTCAAGCAAAGAGAAAAAACGTGTGAAAATATGTTCATTGCATTAATGTCTGTAATACTAAAAAGAACTGAAAACAAATTGTGTCCATCAATAAAAGAACTGGACAAATTATTTATAAGCCATACATAATAAAACATTATGCAGCTGCTTAAAATTACAGTTTTTTTGGGATACCTAAGACATGAGTGAACTAACACAAATATAATACTGAAACCATTGGCTAAATGCATTTATTGATGTATGACTGGAATGGAGAAATGGAATAGAGAAAATTCACCAGAATGTTGACAGTGGTTTTCTATGAATGGAGGGTCTTAGCAGGTGTTGTCAATGCTCTTTCCATACCCACTAGCTTTTGTTTTTCCTATGCAAGCTTTTCTGTGCTCTACTGGCAATTTCTGGAACTCTGCCTCTCATCTTTCTCCAGCCCTATATGTGGAATAATCAGGAAGTGAGGAAAAACGAAGGTTGGGAGGACAGCCCTCTGGGAATGATAAATGGTATTTAGAGAATAAACAATCCAGCTTCGTCCCCCTTGGGTACAGGGGGTTACAGCTGTGAGGAATGGTCCCTGTTGTCTCCCAGAGGTCTCCAGGAGACTGAACTCCTGTTGTTTTCAGCAGTCAACTATTCATTAAGGCACCCTCATTGGATTCTTTCCATTGTCTTTATTCCATACTCTGCTAAGAGTACTTCCTGATTTCACCTTCCACATAGGTTAGTTGCACTCAAATCTTTGCCATAGCTGCTGCTTAGGAAAGCATAAAAATGAGTTGTTTGAATTTTTTTCTTTCTTCGTACTCTTTTCTACTGCTTACATATTTTTCTCTATGTATGTTTCTATATACACATGTAAATAACTTATGGTCCTCAAAATGAAATACTCACTTTCATAGGTCTGCAACACTCTTGACTCACAAACACCCTATCTGTGAACAAACTGCTCATGTCATACTGCCCTAAGCTTCTTCTGGACACTCAACTATAGTTTCCTAGGAACAGCCTGTCTTCTCTCTTGACCTGCTAGAAGACATATAGAGCAGCTTTCAGCATATCTCCTTCTCTAAGAGTATAATTAACTTGAGCACAGTGCACGGCACGTAGGCAGTACTCAATAGTATCTGGAAACTATATTAATGAATAAATGAATGATACCAAAGCTTGCTACTGAAATCTCTAAACTTCTGCCCCTGGAATTAATTGCCTACATTCTGGGACTAATCAAATTCTGCTTTGAGTAAGATATCTTTTTTTCAAATATCTGTCTAGGCAGATGATCATTAAGCATCTGGGTTGGCATGTGACCTGGGCAAGCTGCTGACACTCTCAAAGACTCAGTTTTCTCTACTTGAAAGTGATGGAGTGTTGATATGAGGATTAAAGGAGATTATTTATGTATAGCTTTGACAGTGTGTAATAGGAATTCAAACAGTAGAGAAGCATATGGATGTATCAGGATGTGTTCAACCTTTGAAGACTGGCCAGTTCTACACTGCACTATGTGATAGAGTCCTTTGTTAGGAACGTCTGCTGGCAAGGCAGTAGGCTGGAAATCAGAATCACTAATAATTTAGGAACTGCCTTTATATTCTTACACCTAACTTAGACATCTAAAAGAGTTTTGTTCTTTGAATATTCTAAAAGTGAATTGCCAAATTTATAGGTTCCATACTATTTATTCAATTTATATGGGCATCTTATTGTCCTGACATTCCATTTTTAAAAGCAGATTTTCCCCTTTGCCTTGGACAATACGTCAAAGTTTTAATTACCATATATCATAAACTCCTCTTAAAGCAATATAAAATATATATGTCCTATAATTTCAACAAGCTTCTACAACCATGTTTATTCACAATTATAAAGGCCAGAAGCATCTTTACTATATACAACTTCCATTAAATAACAGTTATTAAGTGCTGCCCTGCTCCGTGCAGTATATGTAAACTGCTAGATACGTCTTCCATAATATTAAAGATGTCCCTAACTAGCTTGTCTAGAGATTTACATTACTTAAGAAGTCCCATTGCTGGAAAAAGTTCCATGTACATAAAGATAAGTTAAACTTCCTAAACATGCTTTCCCAGTGACTAAAGATATTTGTGTGATTTGCTTTTGTGAGTGTCTGTCTGTCTGTCTCTCTCTCTCTCTCTCTCTCTCTCTCTCATATTTATCTGCCCTATTTGCTTATCTTTCTATTGCCTCCTATTCTGACCTCCATTTGGAGATGAAAATGTCACCCGTCATTGCAGATGTGTACACATGTGATCTTTAGATCTGGTAGACAAGGCTTTTCTTTTTTTTCTTTTTTTTTGCACTTGACTCTAACTGCATTTGTCAATGTTCTTTTCCATTGTCTTAGTTTCTGTTGAATACGCAGTACGTATACATACCTGAAAATGCTATATTCATTTTAGGAAACATTGATTTAAGCATAGACTAGATGACTTTTTAGGGGAAGATTTAAAAAATGTGCAAAAGGAAAAGCTAGCAGCCTTATAAAGTACAATTATATCAGCTCTATACATTGATAAAGGAATTTTTGTTTTAGGCTTGCAAAATATTTCTGCACATTATGATTAATTTTATATCTGTTTTCCAGAAATATGGAGGGACACAAAAGGTTTGGAAAGAATTCAGAGGAGATTATTAAGATGAACTGAATTTCCATAAAAGAAGCCAGATAGCTATCTACTAATGGCAATGGGCATATGGAACATGGTAGATAATTTTGAGCAGGGGTCACCTCGTCTCCAGCTTACACTTCTGAGAAAACAGAAATATTTTCAAGAAAGGAGAAAGAAAACAATATTCTGATCATGGTAATTCTAAGTTTTCAAATTCCTTGTGCATGTGTATGTTTCGGATTTTGAAGTTCTTTTTCCCCCCTCAGAAGTTGGTATATTTAGACTTGCTGAAAAACAGAGGAACAGATATTTAATACCCTAGCAAATTTCTCAGTTCTTTCTATCTGTAAGCTGGTTTGTTAAAGCCTTGAGAAAACCTTAACATTGCTATTAACTGGTGACAAATATATAGAAAAGTTACAGAGTCTCCGATATGTTATCATTTGCCTTATTGGTAAGTAAGTACATTTCTTTTCTTCTTTACCTACTGAGGCCATGAGGAGCCCTATGTGTTTTGGTACAAGTTAGAAAAAGCAATCCCATTAGTAAATATAGTGGTATTTTATGTTTTTATAATGCAAATGGAATGTCTGTACCAATGGCACCAAGCCAAAGATAGAACCATTTGGTCTGAAAGTTTTATGCAAACTAGGTTTGTGCTGGTTTTGTCTCTGTCTGTGACTGAGACAAATTAAACAGCAATTATATGAGACAGTCTTTTGTCTTCATGGAGAACTAAGATGTCTTTTATATATGAACTGATATTTTATTATTTTGTGCACTTACATTTTAAATTAATGGTCTAGTTAATTATAGTTGAATTCAAGTCAAAATTCTATAAAAGTGCAGGTGACTGGCATCCACATTAATATCAAATTGTTCATCAGGAGTCCTGTTATTAGAGTAAATACCAAGAAAATTTACTATGATTGGGTCATTATTTTAAAGTGTCCCAATTTTAACATTTTTTTTTCTGGACAGTTGTGTTTTATTAGGATTGGGTAATTTACATTCATTATACAGAGTCTTACTGTATCATAAATTAAGGAAACATTAAGAAAAAGCATGTAGATTTACAAGTTGACAGGCAATCAGAGCTTTATGTTTTAGAAATAGTTGAGGTTTGAATGAACATTAGGTCTCTTTACTTGAAGGAATTGAAAACATTCTTAAATAGAATTCCATCTCACCCAAGTTGGCATCAAGGTTGGTTGGGCCAAAGGTTATTAGTATGGGAAGGGGATTTAAGAAACAGTGTGATTGCTGTGGGAACTGATATTAAAAGCGCCACAGGGCTAAGTTGGACTTGAATTGCTAAACTTGGCCTCTCATACATAGCTCATCTATAGAACACGTGGAGCCATCTCCTTTTACTACAGTTTAAGAGGAAGTTATACATGATACCTCCTCTATTTTTTTAATCAACTTTTAAGTTCTGGGGTACATGTGCAGGATGTGCAGGTTTATTACACAGGCAACCATGGTTTGCTGCAAAGATCAACCCATTACCCAGGTATTAAGCCAAGCACCCATTAGCTGTTCTTCCTGATGCTCTTCCTCCCCTCGTCCGCCATTCAATAGGCCCTAGTGTGTGTTGTTTCCCACCATCCATCATGTGTCCACGTATTCTCATCATTTAGCTCCCACTTGTAAGTGAAAACATGCGGTGTTTGGTGTTCTGTTCCTGCATTAGTTTGCTGATAACAACACCTTCCAGCTCCATCCATGTCCTTGCAAAGGACATGATCTCATTCCTTTTTATGGCTGCATAGTATTCCATGGTATACAGGTATGACATTTTCTTTATCCAGTCTACTGTTGATGGGCATTTGGGTTGATTCCATGTCTTCGCTATTGTAAATGTATATAAAATTGACACAAAATACACACCTGACTAATGGACTTTCACAAGGGGTCTTCACCAAAATATTAGAGGAGACAAGAAAACAGCAACATTAATATTAATTCAGCTTTCCATGTCATGTGAGTCATCTCTTAATTCCCTTTACTGCTACCTATTTTTCCTATCTTCTTACCACCATGGAAGACAGTCACTAAGAGGGGTATCCACTCTGTGAGAGGAGGTTAGAGGGAAGACAAGACTGTAGGACCCTGGGCTTCATTCCCCACTATAGACTAGACAGTTTCACTCATCTGTTTTATGCTTCACTATTCTATGTAAAATATTATCTGAAAAAATTCTACTGCTAAATATAATAGTATTTCATGTATGGTATATACAATCATTATTTCATTTCTAATATATTATATAATATGTATAATGTACTATAAGATATATGTTATACATTATTTTATTATTACAAGTTATACGTGTGTGTGTGCATATGCGTGTGAACATATATAAACTCATTAAGGTAGATGTTGATAGCCTTAGTATATGTGGCTTCATTTCGCTAACCCAAGCCACTTAAAATAGCAGGAAAAAAATTTTTTAAAGAAATTCAGCCACAACTCCCTGGGTGGGAGGGAAGAGTCAGCATGACCTCAGTAGAGCAGAAATTTTGAGCAACACTTGTAAGACCGAAGGCAAATTGATGTTTATCCCACCAAAAATTGTACTTGAATTCTTGCTAGTGTGTTTTTCCCTTTATACCCATGGTTCATCTACCAGAAAAAAACCAACGTATCATTATTGTTCAATTTTAATTTTTTTCTGTTTCCTATGACATTTTTGTTTTTATTTTTTAATTGATAACAAAATTGTATATATTTATGGGTACATAGTTATATTTTGATACATATAACATAGTGATCAGATTCAGCATCTTAAACACTTATCATTTCTTTGTGTTGAAAACATTCAATATCCTCCTTCTGCTATTTGCAAGTATATATTGTATTATTGTTTATTATAGTCATCCTACAGCAGTATAGAATACTAGAACTTATTTTTTGACTACTAGTTAATTTGAACATTTTCTAATAGCTATTCAGCTGTATTTTTTGTGTCATCTATTAATTTCCTTTTCCCTTTTAAAATTACAATATTTGTGTTTTGCTTATTCATGCATCATAAAAGTGTATGAATTATTTGTCCACAAATGATGTTTGACATTTGTTATTTTTTTGATGCTACTTCCTAATTTTCAATTTGCTCTTTAAATCTTCTTTATGGAACTTACATTTTCAATCTATAAAATGGCAGAAAGAGCTCCAGACATATACTTTATCTGTTAGGTGTGAAGACAATTAAAAAGAGAAAAGTAATGAAAAGCATACCCAACTTCATAGTTGGAAGGTACATTCTAAATTCATGGTGTACACAGTTATGTCAATAACTGGTGAGCTCTAATAATACTTATTACTTTGGATTCCTAAATTGTATAAAAAGATTAAATTGATCAACCTCTCTTTCAGCATTTTTAATTTCATACCACTATCCAGATTTTGAATATCCCATATATCATAAAGGAATAATTTAACGCTAGATTTTTTTGACCTCCAATTTGACAGTATCTTTCATTTTTTAAATGAATGTAATCATCCTTGGCTATGAAGTGTGATAATTAACTCAAATTGTACTTTGGAATTAAAGGCATTTTCAGACAGTTGTGGGCAGTTCATTGGTTATAAGTGGGATGTTTATTATGAGGGGTAACTTAATCATTATTGTTTGAATTACTGCACATAGATTGTGTTATTCATCTGTGAAAAAGAGTATCCACTGCTTCCAGTTCTTAAAGAAGTCCTGAAGAAACTGTGAAAAGCATATTTTCATGTTAAGAGAAAATTTTCACGTTTAGAAATGGTACACAGTCTTACCCTAGCTTTGCGGTTACAACCTATATTAATAACCAACAATTTGGGTATCATTTATGTTCTTAACCACCCTCCCCCACAAAAAAACCTATTTTCAGACTTTAAAAAACTATCTACCAAAGAAGTGAGTTCTATTCCTAACCATAATATTAGTTGTTATGAGGCTTTGGATAAATCAGCTAAGCAAACGTTTTCTGCCTCAAATCTTCATCTATTCATGAGATTACATCATGTCACATCAGTTTTATTTTTATAAAATTCTGATTCATTTAGGATATTATTTTTCTGCACATTTTATTTATATGTATATTAAGTGAATTAAATTTTTGCTATTTGTAGCTAAAAATAATCCAGTCTATCTTAAACTAAAAACAGAATTCACTGGCTCACAAATCGCATTTAGATTCTCATTCAATGTCATCACAAATTGATCTTTTTCTGTCTCTCAATTGTATTTTTCAGTGTGTCGGCTTCATTCTCGAAACAAGCAAGGAGGCCAAAATAGCTTCACATTTATATCTAAACTTCTTGGCAATCTAGTGGACGAAGAGTACCTCACATTGGAACTTTTTGGAAAACACTTGAGGAGTGGCTTTGAGCCACATTTCTGTTTAACAGAACAATTACTGTGGCCAAAGGCATACGGTACTTTGATGGGACAAACCTGGGCCTTCATCCATTGCTAAAGACAAGGAGTGGTATCATGTGAAAGAGAAATTCCCCAGAGGAAAATCGAGTGCTGACAATAGAAGGGGAAACAGATAGTTGAGCAGGCAAAAAACCACCAGATGAACCAGCCAGAAGACTCCTGTCCAGTAGTAACATGTGCTTTAATTCTATTTCCTCTCCCACAAATGGATCACAAAATTCATTGAGATATGCTGTCCAGTAGTAAAGTTATCTTCACATCTGGGTGGGTCAGAGAATATGTACAAATTTATCTTTTCTGAACGTCTTGTTGAAACATTAATCCATATAAACTCTAGAACATGTCAGTATAAATAGGACTGAGTAACAATGACAGGAACAATCCTCTAATGGAGAAATTTTAGGCTCTGAAGCCTCAAGTTTGTTTGAATTACAGGAGTCCAAGCTTTGGTGACTTTATTCACAGCAATAAAGCATGGTCTGAAAATGGAATGCCCCGAGGCCTTGTACCAGGTCTATGACTAGGAAGGGAAAGATCGAGCAGAGAGTATCACCTAGAATCATCATTTGAATTATGATGTAATAGCTAAAGAATACATTACCTAACATTTAGAAATTGTCTGATAAAACATTTGTATTGACCTTCAAGTTTCAGAAATTGGATTTCAATCTTAAGGGACTTTGGAACTTTACATTTTTATATCACTTGAAGCATTTGACTTTCTTCCCCGCTGGGCCATCCTAACTTCTACCAATTTATCCCACCTCAGTTAATGCAAATCATTGAGGCTGAGCCTCCTTTTATTTTTTTTTTTCTCTTTCTAATAATGGCATTTGTATTTTATTAGTAGGTGCTCTTTGCATCATATATGACACTGCCCAGACAACATTCACAGATCCTAGAGTGACTTGAACTTGTTCAGACACATCTATTTTTGCCTCATATAAACCCTCTCCACCAGTCTGATGTACTTACTGATTCAAGAAAAAAAAAAAACAACTTTTACTTGTAGGAATAGAGCCTTCTAGGGGTAGAGAGGAACCCATTGGGTTTTCTTTTAAGAACACTGGAGTCATTCACTACAGATCATAACTCTCCCCTTTCCCCAAGTTTACCAGAGTCTGAGCTTTTATTTTGACCATAAATTTGTTCTCACAGTAGTCAGGGCACATTAACCCCTCTTTATTGGACACATTATTACCTTAAATTGTTGCATAAAGACCTAGTTTTCTTGCATTTTTCCCCACGATGTTTGGATTGCATCTGCTTTTTTCTATGCTATAAAACTTTAAGAGTAAATATTTATCTGTCCATAATGAGGCCCAGAGATTTCTGGAATCTGCATGTTCCAGAAGAAAGTCAATCATTTCAATTTAGTTTTAACAAGAACTACCTAAACTGCCTATTGATTTTTGTCTTCACAATCAACTACATATAGAAAAGGAAGATTGGACTCCAACATGGGCCTTAGCACTGCTGGCTTCATGAGCTTCTGGAAAAATTCATACTGCACAACTTAAGTCTGATATTACGTTAACAGGCCTTACAGTCAAGTCTTCTTCAACGTGACCTTGGTTTTCCTTTTCAGTCACGTCTTCTACAGCTGTTCTATAGACTCTCTCCTTCAACCATTCTGACCAATACACAACATAATACCATATTTATTTCTTAGAGCAGAGACCTCTGAAAGTTGAAAATCATCTTTCAATTGAAATTTGAAAGATGGATTTGATTTCAGTGGACAAAATTCTCAGGGCTTTCTGAAAATTCCCAAGAAGCATCATTGTCATGTCATTGATCTTCTAAACGAGAATGAAATCTGCATGCTCATGAGAAACCACTTCCAACCTCAGACATTGCCCATGGATCACAGCATTGCTTCTTCAAGGCTCAAACATATTTATTATATTACATGTGGGGCTTATTTATTTACTTATTAACTATCTTCCCTTACTCGAATGAAAGCAGGAAGTTTTGACTTTTTGTTCACTGCTATATCCTCAGCATTTAGAATAGCATTTCACATATAGTAGGCACTCAGTGTAAGTTTGTTAAATAAATATAGTTTAGAATCCTTTTCAGCCTAGAACTACTGTCCAGCAGTCTTAATGAATTGGTATTAGAATTCAAGATTAAATCTACTGGCCATCTGTATTTGCCACTTCATGGGCTACTGCGTATTTCACTGTTTGTCCTGAATATTTCTCATCTTCCTCATTACTAGACACATAATAAAGCCACACAACTAAATAATGTTACCTATAATTAAACTTTTTAAAGGAAGGCATTCCTCATGAATAATGCACAGATGCCAAGAGTTATCAGTTACTGGATTCCTACAGTGGTGGCTTTGTAATCTGTCAACTTGGCAAGGCTGAACTACTTTTCCAGGTTCCCTTTTCTGTATGTTTCTGGCTTGGGTGGGCCAAAAAAGAGATTCTTTTGTGAGATTTGGAAAGAACAAAGCAGCAGGTCTTTGATAGCTCATATGTATTGCTGTTTACTTGTTTGCTTACCTAAGTGGCATGATACAGACACTAAGACTACAATGGTTTCACCTTCCACTGGATTCTCCATTAGCTTATTGGACTCGTGGGCTAGATGTGTGTTTAGCTCTCTTGCAAAAAAACCCAGTTTCTGCAGGACACCCATACCACTAAGGCAACAGCCATAAGACCTGGCAGTTTATAGTTTGTCCTACTGAGTTCCTGAGTTCCAGGTCTTGCTGGTCGGTTCTAGCTTGTCCTTGTTCTTCTCTACTTTACGTCTGTCTTCCCTTCCTTCCTGCCTGCCTGCCTTGTGGACTTTGAGCTCTAGCATCAGTCTCTGAGGCAATAGCCTTACAGAAGTTGGTTAACCAGCTTTCACAAATGCTTAAGCACAAATCATTATGCAAATCTACTTCTGCCTATCTAATCTATCTATCCTTCTTTCCATCTATCTATCCATCCATCCATCCATCTATCTTCATCATCATCTATCTATCTATCTTTTTCTATTGAGCCCTAACACACCCACTATATGCCATGAACCCAGTTAGGCACTGTTATCTCCAGCCCTTTCAACAGCACTATCTATTATGATTATCCCTATGTTCCAGAACATTTAAAACCACATCTGCTTGATTTCTAAGTCTGACATCTTTTCATACTTCATGCAATCTTAACTACATATTATTTTCTCACAATATTTATAAAATAAAACATATCCACATTAAAATTATATTAACATGATTCCACTAGCTCCCGCCAAAGCATTTGGCATTTTGAAGCAGGAACAAAAAAAGTTGATGGAACACAAAACACTAACAGAAGAATGTTTCCTTTTACTGAGGCCCATCTAGGAACTTTTCCAATGTGTGCTTTGAGAACTTAGATACATTTTGATTGATGCACCAATTTTAACATCTGCTTGGGCTCTTAAAACTAGATGTCTGGTCTATAACGTCTGTCTTAAGTGTATAAAACAGAGAAAAACTCCAACTAAATAAGTTCATCATTTATGTCTATACCATGACTTTTAACCTGAGAGACCCCTACTTGATTCTGAATCTTTAAGATTGAAATAAAATCTCTCTTTAGAAGAGATGGTCTAAAATTGATGCCAAACAGAACATTTTTTAATGTGTCTGACCAACAGTCATTTTCTGTTCCTACCTCTACCCAAATTATAGTAATCTGTTACCAGCCACAGAGAAACTCCTCAAAAGGAAAATGCATGTAAAATGCTACAAATTGTCCTTGGAGCAGAGTCAGTTTTAACACATATTAGTCATTATTATTTTCATGTTAATTATTGTTTTCTGTCATTATTTTGTTGCAGCTGGTAAGAGACTCTTCACTTTATGTCAACCAAATAGATTTTGCATCCCAAAGGCCCTGCGTGATCTTCATGTTCATACCCTTGAGAATGATAGAAGCTTCTACTCTATGTGGTGTGCTCTGTGTGGCCAGCAGAGGGAGCAAGGAGTTCTTTATAAAAGTAACCTTTCTTTCTGCCTCAAATTGGCAGATTGGAGATAAAGTGCTGATCTTTGGGACAAGTCAGCATTACACAGACTAGCTTCATGTAGAACAAGTATTTTTCATTTCTAACTGTGGAATGAAAAAGAAAATGGTGTTTCTTCTCTTCTCCTAATTTTATGGGCCAATGACTCCTCTCCATACAAATTATAGAAAAATGCAATTCACCATGAACCACTCATTGCTTCCCTAGCAAATTCATCCGTTGATAGCATACAGATAACTTATTCATACATTCACACGGTCCATCATTCATTCACAGAGATAGATACTTAACAGAGACATAAGGTCCTATGTGGCTGACAATGTGAGTCATGTTTGGATGGATAGAAGATTAAGAAAAATAATAAGAGTATAGACATTAGAGAGGTTTTGATATATCTTTTACATACCAGTTTGAAGCAAGCTCCAAAATGATGCTAACAAGCCATGTAATTATCTGACTTCTCATTAGTGATAATTCATTAGCAAGCCAATGTTATGCATGTCTGTTAATCACCTCCTGGTTATGGCTCTCTCTGGAGGACCACAAATGAGATTTTTAATTTTTCAAAACAGCTTTCACTCTTTTCCTCTTGCATTTGCATAGCACCTTATGCTTCTCAAAGTTGATTGACACACATAATCTTATTTGATTCTCACCGTGGGCCTGAGAGGTCAGTTTATTTACAAGTCCTCCATTGTCGACATGGAGTAGGGAGAAGGTAGGTACACATAGTGGCTGAATAACCTGAAACTGGAATTTAGGGTCCTGACTTCCAACCCCATTTGATATTCCTAGATGAGCTATCCATACTAGGTATTCAGTAAATGCTGGCCGGATGAATGTCTGATACTACTCTGTTTCACTGATAGTCTCTGATACTTGCAGATTGTCAATTAACATCCAGAGAAAGAGAAAGTCATAAAGAGTTTGGTTTTAAAAATCAATGAGGTGGGCCGGGCGCGGTGGCTCACACCTGTAATCCCAACACTTTGGGAGGCCAAGGTGGGCAGATCACAATGTCAGGAGATCGAGTCCCCCCGGCTAACACGGTGGAACCCCGTCTCTACTAAAAAAAATACAAGAAATTAGCTGGGTGTGGTAGCGGGCGCCTGTAGTCACAGCTACTCGGGAGGCTGAGGCAGGAGAATGGCGTGAACCTGGAGGGGCTGAGCTTGCAGTGAGCCGAGATCGCGCCACTGCACTCCAGCCTGGGAGACAGAGCAAGACCCTATCTCAAATAAATAAATAAATAAATAAATAAATAAATAAATAAATAAATAAAATCAATGAGGTGATGAAAAAGTTCTGCAACTATATAGTGATGATGGTTGTACAACACTGTGAATATATTTAATGGCAGTGAATTTTATACTTTAAAATGATTACCATGGTAAAAGTTATGTATTTTACTACAAGCCTTTAAAAAATGATATCAATAGAGGGGTCATTTGCATTCTGGCCACAGAAGGGACTAAAGAAATGGAAGGCTACATGTAAACTGGCAGTGTCTGTAAAGAGGATTCCAACTTTAAACAATGAGTTAGAGTATTCACGGTTCCTTCTGCTGAATTAAATTGTTTGACCAAAAGCTGCCTCCATACCTAGCAAATGGTAACCTAGGGTAACATGTAAACAAATTGCAAACTAACTTGAGAGTACATTCTTGTAGAAAATAACAGAGCCTCAGTCAATCTCAGCAGCCGAACTTTCAGGCAGTCACGGGCTGCAAACTGCTCAGGCATGTCTGAACAAGGCAAATGCTAAGCTGCAACCAATCAAGCTGTTTCTACGTTATCACTTCCTTTTTCAGTCAGTAAATACTGCCTGCTCACATTGCTGGGTGAAGCTCTCTGAACCTCTCTTGGTTCTGAGTGCTGCTGAATTCATGAATCTTCTTTGCTCAAATAAACTCTGCTAAATTTAGTTTGTCTAAAATCTTTCTTTAAACACTTGCAAAGCTTCAATTCGATACTTCTGTTATTCCAATTCATCAGCATGTTGGCTTGGGATTACACCCCTTCTGAGAGGAAATTTATTTTAATTTTACTCAAGCAATTTTCATCACAAAAACGATTAAAACATGGATTTAGTTTTCAAACAGGTCTTAGTCCTTTGGGACAGAAGATGTAGTTTTACATAATAAATGTTTAAGTAAAAACAAAAACGGAACCCATGAGAAGTGAAGCACCAGTTCAGTACAGACTTTGAGTTATTTCTAAGCTTTGGTGAGAGAAGCGTTGCCTGCCCCTATTTGGCCCCAAACACTCCTGACAACCATATCCGAGGTCACCGCGTGTATGTTGACAGAATCTTCATTCAGATGTTGAAAACATTTTGAAAATTTCTCTACAGCCAGCTAGGGAACACAGTTTCTTTTTCCCCATTATGGCTTAATCATCAGCTTTCTTCTGCTTTCTTTTACCTTCATGTGGGGAAGGCCACCTAGTTCCCAGCCTGAAATCCGAGGAAAACAAAACAAAACAAACAAACAAAAACAATATTCATGCCACAAGGTAAGGAATTAGTCATTTGATGTTTATTTAATTTTCTTCCTGACTGGTGAGATTTCCTACTTTAATACTGTGAAGGCTTTGAAATAATTTCCTTGCTGGTGTTTGAAATGTTTATTTCTTTGGGTGTGTAGTGCTCTTGTGGTGAAGTGCATCATGTACACTGCACGACCCACTTCTCAAGATCACCCTCGGACGGGTCAGAGTGAGAATGGTTTGTCTTTTGAACTCACCTGTGAGGACTCTGTGAGAAGTGAGCCAGAATGAATTACACAGAAACTAATTGATTTAATTGTATTTCTTTTACAGTCTGCGTAACTCACTCATTTTGCTCTACTATTTTTCATGAAAAAACATTGCTACTCTGCATATTGTATGTTCAGAAAACCATATACATTTATTGTCATGTAATATTAAAAATCTTTGTGGTCCCTGATGAAAAGAGCCAAATACATCCCTAGAGGGAAGATAGTTGTTAATGATTATGGTGTATGTCAATGGAATGTCACTGTGTCCCCCCCACGAGATGACTTGTGTTCAGAAGCATTTATTCATTGATTAGATCTCCTAGGTGTCAGGCACTGAGTTTGGTGCTGAAGACAAAACCATGAGCAAAAGCACCTATGGACCCTCCTTTAAATAAGTTTAGAAGCTAGTGAGCTGATTGATAGTCTCAAAGAGACCATGGCATTTGGGGTCAAACAGATCTGGCTTTGAATTTCAGGTAAGCCCCTTATTGTCACTTAGACCTCAACACCATACTAGGTATCCAGGAGGATAGTCAGTGTGTTCGGGAGAATAAGGCTCTGTACATATGACTGTAATAAGACACTTGCTCATTTCCATCCTGCCAAAAAAAAAAAAAAAACTCTTCTAGCTAGAAATTTTTATTACATCTCTTCCTCATGGGAAGAATTGCCCATTAGCTCTAGTAAGTTGGTAATTGTGTTATGCCTGTAAGCGGGGAGAAGTAAGCTAAATGTATTCCTGACTTATAGGTTTATTAACATTTGAGCTCTAGTTAATTTGAGCACCGTTTTAGAATAGAATTTAGGGCAAAGGAAAGAACAGGAGGAAGGAGGCTTATTTGTGAGCAGGTGGTAGAAGCAGGTAGGAAGGGAGATGAGAATGAATCTACAATGAATGAATACTCCTCTTAATTATGTATTAACCAGAGGTCTTCATTATTTGATGGACTACCTTGCCCATTACTACCTTTCCCTTCTGGTATTTAATAACTGAACTGTTTATTGCTTTAGTGGTAAACTGTGTCAGGAACCTGCAGTCCCAGAATTTTAAGAGCCTATGATTGAATTGGTTGAAGAAATCAAGAATAAGGAGTCCTGTATTATAGCCCATATGTAGGCAGTCATCTCTCCTTGGGAAGTCAGATGGGCTGGAACAGGGGAACAGTGGACAAAAAGAGAACAAAAAAGCAAATATTCTGTGCTCTAAAATATTAACATATAGAAATTCGAGTCATGGTTGAAAGAAAAAGGGTGAGGGGATCTAATGGTCAAAAATAAAATAATAATAATATAGAGCCTGAATCTTGAAGGATTTTGTTTTGTTTTCCTTACGTGCTCAGAAAAGGCCTAGATAAATGGAGCTTGAGGATACAAAAATGTGTCAGAATGAAATCCTCATGAAAATATTACATGGAAGTCATCACAACTCCACGGGACTTGGAGTACCTCTCTGCACCAAGATAGCTGGCTGATTTTCTGCTCAGTCACAATTTTACTTGAAAGCAAGAATTGTCCTAGCTCCTTTTCCATTATCCCAAAAAGTTTAACATTCAAAGCAGGGTCTCATTAAAAAAGAAACTACTGGTCAGTTAATATAATTGAGATATCACAATTTCAGAATAAACATTTTATTAAAAATAAAAATAAAAAAGTATTCTATAGTAAAATATTAGTGGATGTTCAAAAAAAGCTGATAAAGGTAATTCTACTTTGTCCTCTGATGTACACACACACACACACACACACACACACACACACACCTGTCTCCCTTTTTAACATGATAGAAGGTATCTTTTGCTGATTCTTCTAGGCTACCTCCTCCAACTAATGCTTCAGACATGTAAGCACTACAAGAACCTTACCATCTCCTACTCCTAGATCAGTCCCTGACTCCACCTGATGAAGGAGGACATACACTCCCAGGGGAGCCTTGGGGTCTGGAGAAGTCTGCACCCTGGCTGGGAACATTTACATCTCAACCTGTCTTGAAGGTGTCTTCGTGGTCTTTTTCAAAGAGGTGGAGAACAGGGCACTGACAAGGTGGGCGCCAGTGACCCAAACACCCAGGAGGTACTCCTTATTCTACACCACCAAAGTAAAAGATGTAAAAAAGGAGGCATGGCAGGACAAAGCCACTTGCTCAAGGTCTCATGGAAAGAATGTACAGCTGGAATCAGTCCTTTCAATTTCAAGCCCTATTTTGCTTTTCCACTGTGCCATTCCCAAAGCCATCAGAGGAGGATGTAATGTAGGCCCAGACCCCTAATCTGTCTATGTGTGAAGAAGAGTTTCTTCAACTCTCAAATATGTATGCATCCTCAGTGTCAGCACTGAGTATGTGCTCCTCACATCCAAAGATCCCAACACCAATCACTGGCATATAAAAGTACCCTTCGAGACACTGTCTAGTGGTGATACCATAGCTGCATAAAGCTGTCCATAACTGTTTGATCAAAGATCTTGGCAGTAGATTAGCCAGACAGAGAGTGGGGTGCCGTCTACTGCCATGATACGCAGAAGGGCTCTGCAATTAGCTCAGGGGGCCTCAGCTTGGATGTATAATATCCCTACTTGTCCCTGGTTAAATATTTTGCACAGCAGGCTTTGAAAGTCAGTGCAACCTAGGGACATGACCAGAGGAAAATAAACACAAATAGTGCACCACTAGCCATCAAAAAGAATGTCATAAAAGGGATTTGGTAGTCAAAAGTGAACAGCAAATAGAGAGAAGAGATTAGCCTGGCTTCTCAGGAGGCTCTGGATTCAGATTGCCTGGGCCACAGTTGTGCCTCTGCTGCTATTTTAAATGGATTTCCTGGGAATCAGACTCTGATACAAACATGATTGCACTGAGTTATTGGGGTGTGCTCTTAAAATCTGTAGAGGAGTGAAGGAGTACAGTGAGGCTGAAAGAGGAGTTGAATTCACAGGATGCAGGCGCAAGAAAGAGTCCCACAGCTTACTCTGGAATTAGGATGACCTTCTGAAATTACCGACGAAGTGGGTGTGCCTGGTCTTCATTTCCCTATAGTGACCTGTCATTTGATTCAGGCTGTTTCTGGAGAAGGGAACAATTTGGGCTAAGTGATCTCTTTCCAGCTAAGAGATCAACACTTTCAGCAGCTAAGGGAAAGAGTACCCCTGCCTTGAAGGAGGACTCTTGCTGCACAAAATATCCTTTATGGTTGACCACTGATGCCACTGAGATCCGATTGCTTCAAATATGTTCTGTGAATAGCATCATTAGGATTCTGTTTTTCTCTTTTACTATGGAAATGGGAAAGACAGTTTTGTGAAACAAACTGTGGCCCCAAATGTTGCAGCTAAACTAAAAGCTACAACTGAAACTCACCATAGCTCTCTCTTACTACCTATTCTCAATTCTCAGCACCCTCAGCTAGCACTGCTGTTGGTATCAGGAGCTAACTTGGTATGGTGGTGTACCTTCAAAAGATCTGAGTGATCTGAATCCTTGGTCATTCTGCTTTTCTCAGGCCATGGCCACTGCTCTTGCATGTTCACTATCAGAAACAACAAACCAAAATGACCCAAGTTTAATAAACCTGCACTTGTACCCCTGAACTTAAAAGTAAAAAAATTAGCAAGAGACACTCTGGAGGATGACCTGGATGCTAAGCATACTCTTTCCTGTCCCCGTTGCATAACAGCTATACTGTCTCAGGCAAATGACCAGAATCAGGTACCCTTCCCTTTCCTGCTAGGCACTTGACATGAGAAGGCCAAAGTAATGTGGCAAAAACCATGATTTGAAGTGTATTGAGATACTTTTCTGTTCCGTGGTGAAAGCACTTCTTCCTGGAGACTAGGGTCTGTAAACCTCAAAGTACAGAGTTGTGTGCATGGGAAGCATTAAATTCTCCCAAGGTATCACCTGGAATGATAGTAAAGAGCACCACTCCAATTTCACTCACTCCTTAATTTTAAGACTAATGCACTCTATGTGTTGAAGACAGCTATAAAATAGTTGTTAATGTCAACCATCTCCTACTGAAGGTACTCTGTATCTTCGATGATAGTGCTTTGTCTCCACATAGGCACATCAGCTGTGCCTTGTATAGGTATCCCAACTGCTTCTCAAAGGTATTGCATGAGATAAGACCAATGGGTCCATGGTCATAGTCCAATTGCCATATCTTCTTTATTGTAAAGAGGGATTCTTGGGCTGATGTGACGGTATGCAGGGCCCTGTGTCAGTGGATGAAATTCTCTGTAATTCTTAAGATTGTGGTTCCAGTTGAGGCCCTGTGAGCAGCAAATGCAAATCCATATTCAGTTTATGTCTTTATTCTAGTCAAGACAAATTCTTACTGTTTCCAGAGTGAAAAATGTCCAATGTAATTAACTTGTCAAAAAGTGGCTGACTGGTCTTCTTGAGAGATAGTCCCATGCTGGGCACTCAGTATTGGTTTCTGTTGATAAACGAATAAACAGTTGTCATTTATAGTAGCTAAGTCATCCTTGATGAGTAAAATGCTGTGTGATTTTACTCATATGCATACCCTCTATTCCTACCACCATAGCAACTTTGTAAACAAAGCGCAGGAGCAGCCAGCTATAGAGACTGATTGATATCATCTGGCCAAATCATTCTGCCTACTTGGTTGTTTGGTGGCTCCTCTGTGATAGATGCCTTCTGGTTGGTGTTGGCATTAACATGTAATATCAAGATCTTTATGCTTCATGCCTGCTGTCAGAGGTCCACTACAGTCCTTTTAGCTGGATTCATTGTTCCTAATCTTCCATTCCTTCATCTGCAAAGTCCTGAGCAACTAGCCAACTCACATGTCATCCATGAGTCTGTAGGTATTCTTCCCCCAGGCCACTTCTCTGTCCATCCGAAGAGAACAATAAAGTACACTGGCCAAAACTTTGGCCCACTGGGAGTATTTCTCCTCACTGCTGCCTTTTAGGGTCACTTCCCAGCATGGCTGTAGTGCATCAGCAGTCTATTTTTGGTTTCCACTCACATATCAAGTGAGTAAAATGAGACTCAGTTTTATGAATGAGACTTGGCTTTGTTCCTCCCCTGTCAACTGGTCATAAGTGACTCCCCTCAGACTGAGACAGTAGGGGTGGACCAAAGAGAGGAACCCATTTAACAATGGCTGTTGATAAAAAGTCTGGACCACCTGTATGTGCAAACTTGCTTATTCTCCCAAATATATGACTTATATCTTATGAATATAGGTTGGTCGGATCAAATTTAACTCACGATAACTTATTATGGACACCTGACTGATTCAAGCCCTGTTTGTCAAGAGCTCTGTAGCTTCATCAGGACCCAGTAACACAACAGGAGTTACTTTTCCAATGTATAATTTTCTACTGCAGATGGCATAGCCTTGCTCCAGAAACCTTGTGGTGCCCTACAACCCTATGTTGTCAATTTTTAGAGCTTCCTCAAAATTCTATATGACATATGCTAGGTTCTGAATGTCAGTGCCCCACCAAAATCCATACGTTGGAACCTAATACTCAATGTGATTGTATTAAGAGGCGAAGCCTTCTGGGAAGTGATGAAGCCATAAAGACTCTACCTTCATGAATGGAATTTGATACCCTTATAAAAAGAGGTTGAAGGGAGCTGCCTTGCTCCTTCCAACATGTGAGAACACAAAGGAAGTGTCATCTATCAGTATCAGGCCTGTACCAGACATGGAATCTACTGGTACCTTGATCTTGGACTTCCTAGCCTCCAGAACTGTGAGAACTAAATTTTTTTTGTTTATAAATTATCCAGTATGTTTTGTTATAGCAGTCCAAAGAGACTAAGACATCTTTTCCTACCATAGATATTTCTAACACTACAGGGTTTTCTGGATTTATGGCCCAAGTGGAAGAACTACTTGCAACACAGCCTAAACCTATAGCAGAGACTTTTTATTTTGGATCCAAGTCAAAGCTGGTATTCTTTTGCCAGAATAGTATTTTCAAGTATGAAATATTTTACCTCCAAAACATGAAGAGGCTTACCAGGAAGCTATGCACTATTTACCTTTTTCATAGCTTTCTGAAGATCAGGCCATAATGCTACTGGCCCAAGTGTTTATTGTATGGGCTGAAATGTATTCTCCCCTATTTATATATTGAATCCCCAACCCCCAATGTGACTGTACTTGGAGATAGGGAAATGGTAATTCAGGTTAAATGAGGTAATAAGGATGAGGCCTTAATCTGATGCGACTGGTGTTTTATAAGAAGAGACAAGAGAGCTCTCCCTCTCTCTCTCTCATCTCCCTCCCTCCCCCTGCATGCACACAAAGGAAAAACCACGTGAGGACACAGCAAGAAGGTGGCTGCCTGCAAGCTAGGAAGAGAGGCCTCACTAGAAACCAACACTGCTGGCATCTTAGTCTTGGATCTTCCAAGATATCACAATATCCAGAGCTGTGAAAAAATACATTTATGTTATTTAAGCAGAAAACTCAGCCTATATGGTATTCTATTTTAGCAGCTCAAGCAGACTAATACACTCATTTTAATTGTGTACACCTTGCTTTTTATGAAAGTTCTACCAACTGGCCTCTATTTTTTTCCAGATTCTGTTATGAACGTTGCCATCACTGAAACCAGCTGTGTAACATCTTCCACCGTCATCCCTGCCTACAAAGGACAGCTATCACTGAGCTTTTCAATGGTACTGGTGTTCCTCTCTCCAGCACATTCCTTATTACATTGGTAAATGGAGTATACTTGGGGCCCTCCTGCTGAACTGCTCAGCTGGTGTATTTTTTAGCCTTAAAAACATGTCTATCATAGCATGCTATTTCTCCGTCTTTTGATTCTTTATTCCAGCACATACCCCACTAGGCATGAAATTTCTATATCACTTTCAAAAGCCTCCCAAGAGTCCTCCTAAGACATGTTAACACCATCTTTTGGGATCCTTACCAGGTATTAAATTCCATATCGCAGGAGAGTGTCCACACTCTTGATGATCCCACCCTATTTTCTACTCTCATTGATCCAGTACCATCAGAATCCAGTCTCATATATTTTCACCTGGCTTTTTCTGTACATGTTGTCTATATTCTGTAGCTTCTTCCAGCTATAGTTTCTTTTCTCCTTTAGAAGATCCAACACTTTCCTGGCCGGGTTATATAGACTTGACCCCAGTTTTTGGTCTAATGGCCAGGAAGAGAGGCGGAGGCAAGGCAGTGGCCTCTAAATTTTCTTTAAGCAAGAGGCGAGGTCTAGGCTATAACAGGGAAAAATGAACCACTTCTGAAAGTAAAGAGAGTTTAGAGGGATCTGAGATTTCAAGGTTTTTGAGTGCATAGATCCAGATGTTCCTATGCCAAGTCTCAGGGTCCTACTCCTTCCCAAGTAGGTCCACGAACCTACTCCTTACCTTGCACAGCAGACTAGCTAAGTCTGAGAACTTAACTTTTTCTAGAGTTGTATTACTCTTAAAATTAATTCTTGACCATGAGCCTCAACATTCCCTGCCTTCAGACTCAGGTGATAAGTCTCCTCATTTGTTGCCAGTGAGGACCTTTGACTTCCACACTTTACTTTCAGTTGGTGATTAACCATGCTTAATCTTGTATTGTCATTCTCCAATACATCACTGGCACTGTGCAAAACCCATCAGATTACCTTCTCATTATAACTGCTATTTACCGGATATTCTCATATTACTCCTACCAGCATTCTCTTCCACCAATTTCCAATCCAAGTTCATTACTTTGAAAATGTTACAGTTGCATCACTACAGCATACTTGGATTTATTTATTCATTTATTTATTTTTATTTTTCAAGATGGAGTCCCACTCTATTGGCCAGGCTGGAGTGCAGTGGCGTGATCTTTGCTCACTGCAACCTCCGCCTCCTGGGTTCAGGTGATTCTCCTACCTCAGCCTCCTGAGTAACTAGGACTACAGGCGTGTGCCATCACACCCAGCTGATTTTTGTATTTTTAGTAGAGACAGGGTTTCACCATGTTGGGCAGGCTGGTCTCAAACTCCTGACCTCAGGTAATCCACCCACCTTGGCCTCCCAAAGTGCTGGGATTACAGGCATGAGTCACTGCACCCAGCCCATATTAGGATTTATTAATTTAACTGCTCCACCTAACACCAGGGTTTTTTATTTCTACCAAGATGGAGAATTCAGCTTTAAAGCTCATTTTAGAGTTTTCCTCCTTGGGCCACTTGTGCTAACAACTGTCTTAGATTGATTTTTCAGGAATAGACTCTAGGAAGGAAATTTGAATGGAAGTTTACTAAGGAGTGCCCCTAGGAACAGCACCTATAGAGCACAAAGGCAGTAAGACAAGGCAGAAAGAGGAGTTGTGTTACAATGCATTTGCAACAGAGGCCTCAGCCAGTCTCACTGGGAGCTCTGGAGCTGGGATGGATCTTGACAATTGCATCTTTTAAGGTAGGGGGCCAGACTTATATAGCCCCTAACAACAAGGTATTAGATAAAGGCTCCCACTGAGGATGCGACATCACTTTGAGATAGATGACTTCCACATTGAAGACAGTACTCAAAGAGGGGCTCAGCAATGAGCAGCCACCAATATTTCCAACAGCAAGGGGAAAGAAAACCTCATTCCTTAAGGTACTCACTACAGCATGCACTACAGCCTGGCCCTATCTCTGTGACTTACATTCTTAGCTATACACTAAAAAAGATAACAGGACCAACTTTATAAGGTTATTAAAAGGATTAGATAATTTAATTCATGTGAAGTGCTCACTAGTGTATAGTAAGCGTTCATGAAAATGTTATATTCCAATAAAAACATCTTGGTGTTTTAGTAATAATACTATGATGTATCTGAGTTAAAACTACAGATTTAAAGAGGGAATTGGCATGCCATGTTGCATTAAGTAATCCTCATTAAGCTGTCTTAAATAATTCAACTTGCACCTAAAGAATCCCTAACTGGATAGAGGTGACATCAGTGAGGACCACGTGAAGAAGATTCCTTTAAGAAACTTCTTGGTACCGTGTATTCACAGTAGCTAGCAGACATGAACAGAATGCAGTAGTCCCCCCTTACCCATGGTTTTGCTTTCTGAGGATTCAGTCTGAAAAACATTAAGTGAAAAATTCCAGACATAAACAATTAATAAGTTTTATATTCCGTGTCGTTCTGAGTATCATGATGAAATCTTGTGCCATCCTACCCCGGACATGAATCATCCCTTTAGCGTATCCATATAATAAACGCAACCTGCCCGTTACTGTATAGGAAAAAACACAATGTATATAGGGTTCAGCACTATCCTTTGTTTCAGGCATCCACTGGGGATTTAGGGGGACTACTATAGTATAGACTTGTTTATCTGGTAGTCTAAGACTGCCTTTTCATAGACGATTTCCAAGCCATAGGTTATAAATAAAGATGTTTGTTCTGGGTTCTACAAGACGAGAGAAAGTTGCGGGAACATAGAAGAACTGACTCAAGTAAAAAATATCACTGTGGGAAGTCATGAGCAGCTGGGGTAGCCAAAAGGAAGCAGTGGAAGAAAGGCCTATTGACTTTTGTATAGTAAATGGAGGCAAAATATAGATATCTTTTGAGTCACATAAGCCTGTTTATGAATCCTCAGTCAGTCTCTTAAGTGTAGGAGTTATCTTAATTGGTATGAGTTTATAAAGCAATGGTTTTTTTTTTGTGCATTGTTAAAATGACATGATAATCCTGCCTAATTTATAGTTTTGTTGGGAGAACTAAATAAGACAAATTATTTAAAGTGTTCAGTGCAATGCATGGTACATGCTGAATATAAATAGTTACTGGTTATTAGAATTATTGCTAAGCATCTGTCAAGAGCAAGACTTGGGCAAGCAATGGCTGTGATAATGATAAATAATGAGGTATATAACTGAGAACTACCTAACCTAATTTTCGTTCGCAAGAAATGTACTTCAGGTATTTTCTATAATGCTTGAAACAGACTTGGGACTTGACAAAAGTGCAGAGTCAAGCTCTGTATCTGGAGCCTAAGTTCATTTTTTCTAATGTAAAAAGTGCATTAGTGGTTTGCCTTTTAATCAGTCCTTTCTAGCACCTACTTTTCCTCTTCTTGCTTGTGTCTTTTAGGAAAGTGTTAAAGCCCTTTTCTTTTAATGACAGGCAGTAAAAAGGGCACTGCATTTCTGCAGGATCCAGCAAAGATTTGTTGACATTGAGCTGAAACTGGGCAATCCATTCATTATTAATAGATGTGCTCACATAATGGAAGGTGTTTCTGTGGGTTTTTTTTAACCAACGACACAATAGAAATGTTTAATTAATGACATGTGCAAGTCTTAAGCAAAGATTTACTTGTTTTATGGGCTTAGCAAATTCATTCAGCCACTTCCTCCCAGATGCTGACAAGCCTGTTTGTTTATGCTCACTGGCTCTTCTAAAAACCAGCCAAGTATTAGGATTATTTTTGAAGTAGCTCAGTAATCTCTGAGGTAGGGACTGGATGTCTTCAGTATCTCACCCACTACACATAGGCTCTTTATGGGAGCACTGCCTGGCCCTCAAAGCAGGCATTAGATAAGCCAGCCCTACCTTGCTGGAATATAGAATGCAATTTTCCATTGGATAGAAACTATTGACTATTTACACAGACACAGTTATAATTTGTTTTTAGAAATTCTTCCAGGGTTTTCTCTTAGCTTTTTAAAAAATTATTTAATCTTGATCGAAAGCTAGACCTGCCATTAATTTTAAATATCTGTTCACATAGTTAATGTTTCGTATTTACCAAGTAGAACCCATCACCTCAAAAAATAGGAACGAACACACTTGTAGGTGACCAATCTAAAGCCAGTTCCTTTTTGGAACAAGATTCTCAAGAGGAACAAGATTACCAAGAGTTATGTATTGCAAAAGGAAGTGAAATGACATCACCAAGTAGAAAGTGTCCGGGAGGAGAGGAAATCATTTGTTTGTAAGCAGGGACTGAAAAGAAATGAAAGATCCCGCCATAGCACATTTTTGGCTCTTCCTTACTGAATTTGGGTTGGAATATTCTCATAGCTCCCTCTTTGTTCACTGACATTGCCTGAAACCTGTACCTTGCCAGCTCAACATTTTAGCCACCAAGTTAACTTTACTGCTTAAGTGGTGTACCCAGCATAGTTGATAGCCAGAACAATTTAACATTTTCTTCCTTCAGACAACAATGGATTTTTCAGTAATATTTATGAAATGAAAAGATTAACCAAAAATAATAGCTGGGGTTGGAGAGGAAAACACAAACCGAATTTTCCTTTTATTACAATTCATATATATGCATACACACACATACACACATATACACATACATACATACATATATTCATATATATAGTATATATCATCCTAGTTTAAAAAATAAAATACTACAGTATTAAAAAGAAAAAAGGGTAATAAATACCAATTTTAGGCACATTATTTATGTTTTGAAAAAAGGGAGAAATCATATAGTTAAATACTGGTTAGTTACAATAATGAATAACATGGTATTTTCTGTTTTTATGCCTTGTCTTCTGCAAATTAGTAAATAATCCCATCAAAATATATCTTTTTTTTTTTTACATATTCTTGCTCTGTAGACAGTATAGCCAGATTTGTCAATCTATCTAAATCTGTTTTCAAAGTCGAAGACCACATTTCATTAATTTTAATTTCAGAAGTTTCTTTCATATGAAGCAAAAGGTGTGCAAATAATTAGGAAATGTCTTAAACTCTACGATAAGTTTGTCAGAGTTATATAAATTCCTTTTCCACAATATATTCCAGAAGTTTCCATACTTTCTATAAATTTTTCTTATGCATTGATTCTGACAGATTTTAAAAGTTACTTTACTTGAAACAATTTAAACACAAATAAAAAATCCCAGGTGGTCAAATAGAATGGTAGAATCACATAGATCAAGTACTGTATCTTTGTAATCACTGTGTTATTCTTATTTTGAATCTACTTTTTAAATGCAAAAATATGTGTTGGACGGCTTAGAGATAAACAGTGCCTGCAGTAACAGTAAATAATTCTCATGAATGTCAAACACAGAACTAATGTGTATAGGGTAGCAGAGATACTTTCCATGTAGAACACAATGTTTATTAAATAATAAGTGCTAAACAAATGTTAATTTGGATCTTATACATCTGTATTTTTTAATGCAACCAAAACTGGAATAATTTTTTGGAACTTAGACCAATAAAATATTTTGCCCCTGGGAGAAGTATTTCATAACTGATATTGTTTAGAATTATTGGCTCTGAGTGATCATAAAAGGTAGGCTTACATTATTTGGTTTTATTATTATTTTTAAATTCTCCAAAGGCAATGTCCCCCACCTGCCCATTATTGCCTGCACTGGGGCAGCCCACCCCACCACTAGCCCTTGGTACCCAGCCACTGTTCTGCTTCCTTCTGGGGTTTCATCTCTCACCAACTCAGAACAATTCCACATAATCTTGATCTTATTGTGTCACAAATACACCAGGACAAATATGATCTACTCTAAGCCATGCTCTATATCTTCTGATAAGTTTGTCAAACCGAATAACCATGGAGGATGTCTCTGGGCAATTTTAATTTTTTAAGAGAATGAAAAAAAAATGCCTGAAAGCAATGGATAGTGATGAGACTCAACAATAAATCAGAGAGACTGAACTGCCCCAGCTAATTCTGTCAGAAAGGAGTAAACAAATTCAGAGCCTTGATTCAGACTATTACCTTTAACGCATTAGGAGAAAGGGAGAAGAGGGAAAATAATACACGTGAATTTCGCACTTTACACTTTGTCACTTAGCATCATTTCTGCCTTCCTTCTATCATCCTGCACTGACACAACATCTGGACAATAGAGAAGAGCAGGGAGGATGTGCTACTTTTTGGAAAAATTAATTGAATGAGACATAAACAAGTAGAGTCTTTTAAAAGACAAATTCAAAAGCAAATGTATAGAAAAGGACCTCAGCCAGGGAGAGAAGCAAAAAGGTAAACATTTAGTGAGTAAAGGAGAGTTTGAGTCATTGAACCAGAAATTCAATGCTTGTATCCATTCACTTCATTCAACGAAACATTAATAGTTTATTATTGTCAATTAATTAATGTGTTATCTGATGAAAAATATAAGTGCAAACTAATCTCTGTGATCCCTCTTCTGCGCCACCAGTGAATTCAGGTGGTCACAGCTACACAGCATACAAATCCCAATATTCTGTACCTCTAGCTGCTTGACAAGCAGGCAGCCCAGTTTTCCCAAGGATCTCTCCTCCCCTACTTTCTCTCTACGTATCATTGAAATGGAGTGGCCATGGGAGATTGTCTGCCAAGATGAAACCTATTTTCCTGGAGGATTAGGAAAGGGTCAGATATAAGTTCTTTTTGTGACATGCAGAGGAGTCTGGACTCCTTAGGTAATGGAGAACTACTTAAGGATTTTAATGACACCAGCAATTCAGATTTATGTCATTGTAGGAACTCAACACTGGTGTAGTGGGTTGAATGCTGACCCTCTCCAAAAGATATGTCCACATCAAATCCCTGAAACCTGTGAATGTGATCTTACTTGGAGAAAGTCTTTGCAGATGCCATTAAGTTAAGAATCTTAAAATGAGTTCACCCTGCATTATCTGGGTGGATCCTAAATCTGATGAAAAGTGTTCTTATAAGGGACAGAAAGAAGGTACCAACTTTCAGTTATAAGAGAAACAAGCTCTGGGAATCCAACATATAGCCTGCTGACTATAGTAAATAATACTGTATTATATTTGCTAAGAGATTAGATCTTAAGTGTTCTCACCATACACACACAGACACATACACACACACACACACACATACACACACATACACACATATACACACACATACACACACACGGTAACTATATGAGGTTATAGAATTGTTAATTTGATAGTGGTAATCATTTCATAATGCTTATGTATATCAAATCATACACTGTATACCTTAAATACACATAATTGTATTTGTCAATTATACCTCAAGAAATCTGGGAAAAGAGACAAAGGATAACAGACACATACAACAGAAGTCAATGTGAAGACACAGCAGAGAAATGTGGCTGCAAGCCAAGAGAGCTAGCAACCACCAGAAAATGCAAGAGGTAAAGAAAGCAGGCTCCCCTAGAGCCCCACAGGGAGGGCAGCACTTAACAGCATCCTGATTTCAGACTTCTGGCCTCAAGCATAGGAGAGAATGGGTTTCTGTTGTTTTAAACCACCAGTTTGTGATAACTTGTTATGGCAGCCACGGGAAACAAATACAAGTGGTGACAACATCAAGAATTTGTTTGATATAGAGGTATGACTTGGGAAGAGATATAATGAAAGAAACTATTACTACGGGACGTGTTTAGAATAAAGCATGGTTCAAGACTTTTGTTAATCTTACATGATTTTTTCTATATTTACCATTATATTTATTTTTAGAATAAGCAATGTGGGATAAAAAAAGACTTAGTTAAGATAAAAAAGATAAAGTTAGATAAATAAAAAGACTAAGGAAACTGAAGGGAACATTGAGTGGAGGGGGCTGTTCCTTCCTTATTTCTCTGACAAATATTTTCTGAGCATGCGTTATGTGCTAGGTGTTGTTCTAGACATTGTAGAGCTAGTACTGAACATAATAAAAAAAAAACTCTTATGAATCTTACATTGAAGTAGAGGAAAACCATAGAAGTTTTTGAGTAGAGGCATAGGTAACAGCTTTAAAAGGATCACTCTAGCTGCTGAGTATAAGGTGAAAGCAGGGAGACAGAATGCCACCACTGTCATCCAGGTGAAATGACAGTGGCTTGCGCTAAGGCATGAACTGGGAGGCTAGAGTTTCTTGTGGCTGACTTGAATGGGACCAAATGAAATAGTGAGATTAACTTGATGATTTCCAGACATACAGTAACTGTGAGATTGTAAGTATGTATGTGGGGTCGGGGTGGAGGGGGATGGTAAGAAGTGAGATCCAGATCTGAGACCCAGCTGTTCACTGGTGTATATGGAAGCCTGAAGGCTAGAATGGTAGAGGCAATATTAATGTGAGTAGTTGGGTTCTCTCTTAAATCCTGATGAAGTACCATAGTACTCAAAATGAAGTGCTCAGAATGCGGCTGGGACAGGGAGAAGAACCTTACTGATAGGTAATGTCTCTGGATCTGACCCTACCCCTCAAGGCACATAACTTGCAAGAATTGTTCCCATTAGGTGGCATCTTTTTCACACAATAACATCTTATAACAAATTAATTCATTGGTTAAGAGAAATTTCATGTGTTTACCTCTGAGATGAGGGGCTATCTCCAGTTGCTCCCTAACAGAATGACCACTAGAGAATCAACGATGATATTTTTGTGGCTGATTATTAGGATATTCTTGGAAAACAACCTCAATTACTGGAAGTTGTCCAGCCAGAGAACAGTATTGGTCACCAAGTCAACTAATGAAAATCACTTGCCCCATTTTCCCAAAAATTACAATGTAATTGAGAAGCAGGATTGTTTCATACAATCTTTTTCCTGCAGAAGGCTTTTTAATTATCCCAACTACATTCCAAAAAAGATTTGCCATTGACTACAAGTTAGTCCAATTCTAATAACAGTGCAAGAAAATGAAAACCACATGTGGAATGTTAGAAAGTAAGACGTCTGTTTTTTTCTTTTGAGAACTGAAAACGGAATGAATTGATCAAAGAACCAATTGAATGACTCAAGCAGGAATGACAGAAATTTTGTACTTAGATTAAGTTGCAGGTCATTTAGGTAGCCCATGCTAGAAGAGTAAATCAGGTAAATGTTATAATACTCCCAACTTCTAGAAACCATCACCCTACACATAAATCCATATGCTTATGCAAATATCCCCACTCCAATTAGTTTTAAAACTATCTGAAATGCCACCAATTATTTGAAGTATTTTTCAAATCTCAGTTTTCTTGAACACACAATCAGAAAGTTTGCTGGAGTGATCACTTGCATTCTCTATGCTTGTCTCTTCAGGGACTCCAGATCATAACAAATTGAAAGGGGACTCCAATTATCATTTGACATCTTTGTTTAGGATTGCACATTTTAGTTCTCATGAATAAGCAATTAAAAAGTTATATTTCTGAGAGAAGAAAATCTGTATTAGTAGCTGGCCTTGCAAGAAAAAAGAAGTAGATCCAATGTCCTGGAAAGGAGGAAAAAAGCAATAAAGAGATTCTGCATCCACAGGAAGAAAGAATAGCATGACAAAACAAGCTACGTGCACAAATACAGCCCAAATATATGGGTTAAGGGACTAGATTAGAGTCCAGCAGGCTGGACTCTGAAGAGGTTGGCTAAGGGATTAGGGTGCCTGTGGGAATCCAATTTCCAGGTCATAGGGATTAATTTTTAAAAGGAGGGTATACAAATAATAACCAGTCCTCTATTTCTGATTCTTGAGCCCAGCTGGCTCTGTTACTAATTATGGAGTCAATATGGAAGTCCATAATTAATTTAACTGACCCCGTCTCACTGAAGCCCTTCGTGAATCAGGGTGACTTTTAATGGAGGAGTTTTGTAAAAGCATGATAAAATCTCCTTTACATTTCCCAGATGATATCTCCTATACCTCTCTCCAAGTGTTTATGGCATTCTATACTACTTTGTAATTTGATAGGCATTACCATTTGTATTAGTCCCTTTTCACACTGCCGGAAGAAACTTCCCCGAGATTGGGTAATTTATAAAGGAAAGAGGTTAATTGACTCACAGTTCTGCGTGGCTGGAGAGGCCTCAGGAAATTTACAATCATAGCAGAAGAAGCAGCAGGAACTTTCTTTACGAGGCAGCAAGAGAAAGAAGAACGAAGGAGGAAATGCCAAACACTTATAAAGCCATCAGATCTCGTGAGAACGCACTCACTATCACGAGAACAGCACGGAGGAAACCGCCTCCATGATCCAATCACCTCCCTCCTTCCACACCTGGGGATTATAATTCGAGATGAGATTTGGATGCGGACACAGAGCCAAACCTTATCACCACTTCATATTTGAGAGTAGAGACTATGTTCTACCTATTTTTGTAATAAACAAAGGGCCTGATATACTTCCTTGCACATAGTGGGAACTGCGAATGTATCTGTAGTATTGAAAAAGGAAAAATGTAGAAAGAAAATAAAAAACCATGCTCCCACAACGACTACACTATGAGAATATCCTTCCAAATTACTTGAGTACCATCGAGAAATGCAATGGCAAAGCTCTATTTGCCCTTCAAGCCTCAGCCCAGAAATATCTCTGTAATATGTATTAGTTCCATTTCTATTTCTATTTACAATAGTTTAAGAATCAAGCTATGATTACATATGCCTAACACCAGTTCCTTTCTGACAGGTGTGATCCTTCCCATCATTCCAATTCCTTATGCAGATCGTTCCTAAATAATTTCATTCTTCTTAATTACAAGGTCTCAAAGAGCTACACCTGTGAAGGGACACAATCCACAAACCTATAGAATTTAAAGGGAACTACTTTTCCCTGGGGTCTTCTGCTCAGATGTTAAGAAATGTAACTGATTATTTCAACAAGGAGAATTTCTTTCCCCTCAAGTCATGACCTGGTTTATCAGATAAATTCAAAGCTTTTGGGTAAGCACCTTAAGGCCATGTATTTTTTTTCCTCTCAAAGTTTTTGGCTGCTTGCCTTCAAACTGCAAGCTGGCAGGCTTCATCCTTTAAAAGCTTAATAACTTGAAAACCACAGGGCACCTAGAATACCTCTAGTTTTTAGCCCTAGAGCTAGAGGATGGATGGGGTAGAAATCTAATGCACTTGACCTTCTCACCTCCTGCTCATAGCCCATGCCTCCTATTACACCCACTCCAATCCTCCTTGAGGCCACAATTGAGGAGTTCTGCTGACAGACATCTCTAGAATAGCTACTGTGCATCTCATATAGGCAACTGGGCTTTCTAGGTCAGAGTTCTTCAAAGTGTAGTCCCCATACGAGACTAGTAGCATCAGATTCTCCATCACCTGGGAATTTGTTAGAAATTAAATCTTGGGTGCTGCACCAGACCTCCTTAATCAGAAACTCTGGAGGTGGAGTTCAGAAAGTTGTGTTTTAACAAGCCCACCTAGAGATTCCAAAGCTCCCTAAAGTTTGAGAACCACTCCTCTGAGTAAATGAAACAGTGGTAATTGGCAGTAAACCTTGGACTAACTTATAACACTAAGGAGCAATCACTCATCCCAATCTCGTCTCAGGAATTGTGGGATTTGGTGACCTCATTTCAAAGGGACAATACTTATCTCTGAAGGTGCTTGGGTAGCTGGCTCTGTGCACTTGGAAATACACAATGCTGTTCTCCCATGTGGTCCAAGGTGCTGAAGAAAATCAAATGTTCTAAATGTGAACTGGTAAAACCTGGGACTGGCAAAGGAGGGAATGAGCACCACAAAAAATATTTCGTTTTTTAAGATTTGACTATACATACTTGGTTGGTATTGTCTTCAGATTTCATTTTATCACAGGCACTTAGCTTTTCAGGGTTCCTCTCAGTAAGTATTTATGAAGTCCTATTTTGTGTAAGATACACATTAAAAAGAGCTATCTCTAAAAATAAAATAACAATAATGGAAAGAACAATGCCAACCCTAGCCCAATTTTAAGAACTGATTTATCTATCTATTGTGAGCAAATATATTTTAGGTAAATCTTCTTTGGGATTCAGCCTCCTTAAGAAGAATGAACATCTTCATTTGGCACTCATCCCTGCTCCAAAAGCTACCTTGTAATGGCATAGTTATCGTTCTGTAATGCAGGATACTTACCTTCGAAACTGTGTATACATTTCAGTTTTGTTCTAATCTAAGCATGTAACCTCATTGGAGGAATGCATTTTCTAAAGGAACTCTCCAAAGATTCTATTTGAAATACACTTAATGGTGTATGGTTCATTTTCTTTTAACAAATCTAAGTTTTCCTGTAACCAAATTTGCACAGAGTAGGATTTAATCAAGTTAACATTTAGGAGGAAAGAGATAGGGAAAATGGGCACATGGTTTAAGATTTACAGAAACATTTCCTGGGAGTCTGCATTTTTGAGAAGCCAGTACATAAACTTTTCTGCAAACAGAAGTGAAACTGAAGTCCAAATTAACCTAGCCTTGTGTCAGGAAATAGAGGACTTCAGTTCTAATCAGCAGAAAATTACTATATCTATAGAGTATATATATAAAATTATAAATAAATTATATAAAATAACTTTATATATAATGACTGTAGATACATAGTAATTTTCTGGTGTTAATGTAAAAAATTACTAGAACTGAAAGAAATATACAGGTATTCTTAAATCAGTGATGTTAACATTTTTCTTTGTGACCGATTATGAGCCAGTTTCTCCATATCACCTCTCTCATGTTGATGCTGAACTGGTTTTAAGGACAGAAGTGAAATTGCCCACAGCTGAAACGGTGGATGTGGGACTTAGGACTACCTCTGTTTTATCACCAGCTCATACCTGGCAAAGTTTCTTTCAGCACCTCAATGTTCATGTGTATTTGTTTACATATGTTCATGTGTATTGGCTAGGAATTGGAGTTAATCTAAGATACACACTAATCCGCTGAATGTGCCTCTAAATGAGAAATATTATATCCTGTTGGAGTAAGCTAGGAAAATTGCCTGGCCTGCAGAGTGCTGAATTATGTTCACAGCATATGTGATGGGCATTTTGTACTTTCCCCAAACGTACACTTCCCCCCTAAGGGGAGATTTAAATTGACGTTTATTTCTGCTAGTCGAACTTGAAGAACATTGAGTTGCAATCTCTTTCCTTAGTTTTCTCTCTTTAACCTCAGGGCTGAAGTTCAGAATCATTTTTCCAAAGAGAACCTTTCCCTCAAGCATATTCTGTAGCCTTTTCTACAGAAGAATCTGCAGAGTGATGTTCCTGAGATCACCCAGGACAGGCTCCCAGTCACACAAGTATTGCCCCTGGGTTGGCCTCTGTACCTGACATTTTGAGGGCCCGAGCCCCTCACTTTTGGGCCAAGCCAAGAGAAGAAATAGCAATTCAAAAATCCATTGTGGAGACTGCAGTAGAAATAAAGAACTGGCTCCACCCCCACAGGATGTTACCCCAGCTGCTTTCCATTCACAATCTGGTTCTGAGCAGACCAAGGAAAACACAGGATGAGGCTGTGCACAGGCTCAATTATACATTCAAATTGCCTGTATTTAAAAACCCCTAAAAACTGTAATGGCTTAATTAAGCTGGTAACTTTATGGCGTGCTTCTCCTCACAGCCTAACTCAAAGCCCTTTCTCTTTCACTGAGAAGTCAGTGTGACAATTCTGGCTCGCTGGGGTGGCTGCCGCAAGGAGGAGGGGCTCCAGGATGGGAAAATGAAGAAAGTGGATCTTGGTGGAAGCTACGTTTCTCTTGTGGCAGATGGTCTACAAATCTGCAGTCCTTTGGAGTACATAAAACAGGTCTCTGGGGAAAGAGTAGGCATTAGTCTAGGTTCTAGGAAGAGTAGAATGAATTTTCACATGCTGAAGCTCATCTATGGAGTCCATCAATTAAAAAGGGTGTATTTCAAAAAAGAGAAATTCAGGTTAAGACTTGCATGTTATCTGAAAGGAAAAGAAAACCCTCCTATAAGAGAGCAGGTTAGCCCTACCCTCACCTCCCCGCACTCCCGCCCTATCTAAATGCCATTTTTCTTACTCTCCATGCCCACGGCATATATATGGAGTAGCACTGTAATGCCACCGAATGAACTTTCTGCCTTCATGTAGAAGTGGCTGCGCTCTGTGGAGGGGCATGCTATTCTCACTCACTGTCATCTGCTTTACAGAAAGAGCCTGTTAGGGCTGCAACAGTTTCATTATTCATGTCTCTTGCTATTGTTTGAGAAATCCTTTGTTTGAGGATCTGTTGAGACATTGTCCCATGCAGAAAGTAACTTTTTAAGAAAATTAATTACTTGTAACCTTCATTTGTTTAAATGCAGTTAAAGATCTGCTAAAAAAATCAGACTATGTTGCCTCCAGTATCACCTATCTCATGCACTAGTAGGGAAACTTATGTACTTAATTTTCCTTATCTTTAAAATGGTATAATAATACGAATTTTTAGCTCACAAGTTTGGTAGGATTTAATGAAATATTACATCTAAGATACTTAGCACAGTGCCCAGTTCTAAATCACTTAATGATGCTAGTTAATGAAAATAATAACAATTTTACCAAGCTCACATTCTATAAGATTTATACTTACAGGAACACTTAACAATTATATATCTAATCTTCGTCAGATAGAGAAAGAGACATATTTGCTATCCTGGTTTCTCGGGGTTATCAGAGAGGTAACTGGCAACCTAATTTCACTACGTTTTGCTTCTTTGGGATTCTGGTGTCTGTCTTTTTATTTCATCTTTAACAGCTGCTCGCATTAGCCTTTTGGGAATCCAGCTAAAGAGTTTTTCATTTTTAGGAAGCCACACGTTCTCTATCTTTAAATCAAAGGTGAAATGCAGCATGCCATGGCAATAATCCAACATTTGAAGGCCACATGCACCTTCCAGTTTAAACTCATTTTCTATGAAGTCAAAACTCATCCTTCGCTTTTGAAAGTATCCAAAGCGATTAGCTGAGACAGCAGAGAACAGGCATGAGAAGGAGGCCCCTGGTGGCCAAAATGAGGCTTCTCCCTCTCCGTTTTTAATGGCATGCGAAAGGCATTAATCCACACTTTCATTTTCTCTTAGCCAAATAGAAATGTCTTGAGATAATGTGAATGCCTTATGGCATAAGTGACTTTCTAAAGTATCTTATTAGAACTCCTTATCTGTGTAAATTAGGCCGCATTGGGGCTTGATAGCCAGAAACATATTTCTTAAAAGCTGACAAATGGGAGAAGCTCACAAAAAGTTAACCAAATGCCACAGGGGAAACTTCCAGAGGACGCAGCAGCTCTAGTGTGTTTGCAAGGCTGGTGCCTTTCTGCCATGTCACATGCAAGTGACTTCCTTGGGGGCTGCTTTATTCAGAAATGAAGTCAGATTTCCCAAATGCTTCTCAAGAACCATGAAGAAAAACTACATGGTCACAGATGGATGTTGGGATATTACTGCAGAAAACAGACAAAAACTTTATCCTTGTAGGGTGTTCAACACGCTTTTGAGAATGATACCCTAGATTTCAAGCGCATGCGTTTTCAAAAATAAGGTTATAGAGTATTTAGGCTGCTTTGCTGATTTTCATGTAGGAAAGGGTAGAGTGTTGGAGAAAATCCAAACAAAATGCAAAGAAATAAGCAAACAAAAAACACTTCTAGGAAGTGTTTCCATCTCTTCAGAATGGAGGGTTATGTGTTGTTTGATGAAGTTAGCTTATCTAAGGGTGTGTGAGGAAGAGCTAGGGACTAGATTATGTTGCCGAAATGCAATCTCTACTTCTTTCCACGCCACCTGCCCTGCTCCTCCCCCAGAGGCTACACCATATTGATCCTCACACTAAGCCTCCAACTATTCTGTTCAGATTTACTTGGAAATAAAGGGCTACTGTATTTATTTTCCTGAGAGACTTGGCCAGAGGCCTACAGAATCCATCATCTACACTGTTTTCCTTTATTTTAAAGTTTCTCCTTACAGGACTGCCTCCCTGCAAACTTGTGTTGGCTATTATGAAGAGACACCATTTCCTTTGAAAATTGATTCATTCATTCCATAAAAATTCACTGAACTCTATTGTAAAGGTCAGTATGCTTCCAACATAAAGAAAATTTTCTACATTAGGATTTTTCTTGTAGGTGGTTTTGTCTGTGTGCGCTTTTTCTTTTTGCATCTGAGTTTTACGATTCAAGCTGTTTTCTTAAAATTCAAGTGCCATTTGATTTTTTTAAATGTGGGCCATTTATCTTACTACATGAATCAATTTTCTCTACTCTTCTCCTCATCGATATTGTTGCTTTTCAATTCCTCCCATATATTTCAGGTACATGGTTAAAGCAGTGTGACCACAGTTAAAGACACATCAGAATGTCTCCTGCTGAGGCAAAGAAGATGAACACAGTTAATGGATAAATAATAGGCCAATGCTGAGGCCAATATTTACACCTCTGCTACAATAAATCTTGATAACTTGAAAACTACCAAAACAAGATGTCAATAATCAGTATGGTGTGCTATATCCTTCCAGAACAGTTTTATTAGAAAGTTATGGAAATGCTGGAAATAAAGATTACAATAATTTTGTGGTATTCTTTTGGTCCCAAAAGGAAATCATCCTTTACATTAATGTAAAGATCTAGAATCTCATGGGTTTCCAAACTTTAATATGCACGAGAGTCATCTGGGGTGCACTTCGGTAAATACAGATTTATGGATTCTGTCCATAGAGATTCTGATCAAATAGGCTTGGTCTTGGGCCCTGGGTGAATCTAATACAGACAAACTAGGCAACATTTTGAGAAACACTGATTTAAGTTCTACTGCTATTCATTAAGAGTGGTCAAAGTGGGCATTTTTGTCTTTTTCAAGTTCTTAGAGGAAATGCTTTCAACTTTCCTCCATTAAGTATCATATTGGCTGTGGGTTTGTCATATATGGCACTTATTATGTTGAAATATGCTCTTTCTGTGCCTAGTTTGCTGAGGATTTTTATCACGAAGGGATTCTGAATTTTACTGATTTTTTCTGCATTTACTGAGGTGATCACATGATTTTTGTCCTGAATTCTGTTTATGTGACCTATCATGTTTATTAATTTGTGTATGTTGAAACATCCTTGCATTCCTGGGGAAAATATCACCTGACCATGGTGTATTATCTTTTTCATGTGCTGTTGGATTTGATTTACTAGTATTTTGTTGAGGAGTTTTGTATCTATGTTCATCAGGAATGTTGGTCTATAGTTTTCTTTTTTTGTTGTTTCCTTGTCTGATTTTGGTATTAGGGTAATACTGACCTCGTAAAATAAGTTAGTGAGAATTCCCTCCTCCTTGATTTTTTGGAAAAGTTTCGGGAGAATTAGTATTAGTTTTTCTTTGTATGTTCAGTAGAATTCAGCTGTGAATCCATCTGGTTCTGGGCTTTTTGTTGTTGGGAGATTTTTTTTTTATTACTGATTCAATCTTGCTACTCATTATTGGTCTGTTCAATAGTTCTATTTCTTCCTGGTTCAATCTTGAGAGGTTGTGTGTTCCCCAGGAATTTATCGATTTCCTCTAGAATTTCTAGTTTGGGAGGAGGCCGAGTGTTGAAAACATACCTATTGGGTACAATGTTCACTATTCAAGTGATGGGTACACTAACAGCCCAGATTTCACCACTGCAAAATATATGTATGTAAGAAAATTGCACTTACTTGTACCTCCTAAATACAGAAAATAAATAAATAAATACATTCTACTGCTATTCATCATGCCTGAGAGGCAAGTAATTACTTAACTAATCAACCCATCAACTAACTGATACTTATGTAGGGACAAATATGTTCAAAAACAATGTGTGTGTATGCTGCTATGAGGTATTTGCATTTTTTTTCTTCTGTGTTGCTGCTGCTGCTCTATCCAGTAAAATGGTAATTTTTGGTTCTTACGTGTGTTAATGGACAAGGTGAAAACAAAGCTTATTGGCATAAATCATCAATGAAAATTCCTGAAAGAATCTATTAAAAAACAATTGTTCTTACCTGTAGACTAAGCCTTCTTTAAAATAAAAATAAAAAACCATTAAATTACTATTTCCTAAACTTAATCAAGTAGCAAAGTATTGGCAAACTTTTTGGGGAGACTGTGGTAAAAAATATATTAAACTAAAATCAATAAGGGTATGATTTTGTGATAAGTATATCCCTATTAGTAAAACATTTTAATATGAACCTCCCAATAATATATTCATAATGTTTGCCATTGACTATACTAACATAAAATTTTACTAATATTATGTATATTATGAAGTGGAAACAATAACATAAATTTAAAATATGATAAAATAAATAACTACGGTTGCAATATTTTCTTCCTGTATATCCAATAAATCATAACGTATTATATTCTCAACTGTCCTAGTAGCCTTGTTTCTCTACTCTGGCTTTGTGCATTTTGACTGACTCTGTCTTTGAGGAAAAGTAAGTACTTAGTTGGCACGTATTTAAAAATAATTTCCTACATGTGGGACAATAATTTTTTTTCAGCCCTGACATTAGTTAGTGATTCTCAAATAATGATCTTTGGTTGGTAATTTCCAGTAAGCCCTCTAAAAATATTTTTAGGCTGTCTTTCCCAAAATGGCACAGAAAAATACATGAATGGGTGGATTATTCTCAATTTCAATTTTGTCATCCATAACCTGTGTTTACACCATTAGTCCCTTGCTATAGTTTATCTATGCTGATTGTCTCCAAAGTATGTATGTACACTTCTGGATCCTGTTTTGGTTGTGTTACACTTTGCTACTATTGCTTGTTTTGTTACTCATGTTAAAATTTTTATGGTACACCTAGAGTTTCTCTAAGTTTCTGTACCTTCACTGGTTTCATTGATCATTCCCTCCGGTGAATAGTCTTGACATATATTTGCAAGCGCTTTCAAACTTTATATGCAAAGGAATCACCTAGGGATCTTGGAAAAAATGCAGATTCTTACTCAGAATCTGAAGTAGTGGCTGAGTTTCTGTATTTTTAACAAGGTCCCAGGCATATGCCTGATGCTGACAGTCTGTAAACTGAAAGGTCTTCACTTTGCGTTTGACTCTCACTAAGCGCTACACTCTGTTATTGATCACATTTCCAGATATGTACCCTATATACTCAACTATTTATATTTTCCATGAGTGTGGAGGTCACCTTAGCAATTGTCATTGATGATGATGATGATGATGGCATTTTTTGACATCCACTCTGTAATCATTAAGCCACTTTTTATCTGTAAAATTCAATCCTAAGAAAGCATTCTGTAATCATGTTTTCATCTTAGAAGAGTGTCAGCATAGCACGTGTGCCAAAGCTTTGTCTTCCTGTAGGGATTTTCAAAGATTATTCTAAGTGTTCTGATTTATTTATTTATTTATTTATTTATTTATTTATTTATTTATTGAGATGGAGTCTCACCCTGTCACCCAGGCTGGAGGGCAATGGTGCGATCTTGGCTCACTGCAATCTCCACCTCCCAGGTTCAAACGATTCTCCTGCCTCAGCTTCCCCAGTAGCTGGGATTACAGGTGCCTGCCACCAAGCCCAGCTAATTTTTGTATTTTTATTAGAGACGGGGTTTCACCATGTTGGCCAGGCTGGTCTCGAACTCCTGACCTTGTGATTCGCCTGCTTCAGCCTCCCAAAGGGCTGGGATTACATGCGTGAGCCACCGTGCCCGGCCTCTTATTTACTTATAAAAGCATTCAACAAGCACAAAAACTACTCATGACACATGAAAGAGAAAAACAGCATGAGAGAAAATACCCTAAATGCTAAATGGTTGCGCACCAAAATATTCAAACTGCGTATTTCTGGAGTTGTTATTACAGCAAATTTTATTTTCCTTTTTTCTTTTTTTTTTTTTTCCTGAGATGGAGTCTCGCTCTGTTGCCCAGGCTGGAGTGCAGTGGCATGATCTCGGCTCACTGCAAACTCCGCCTCCCGGGCTCAAGCGATTCTCCTGCCTCAGCCTCCCTAGTAGCTGGGACTACAGATGCATGTCACCATGCCTGGTTAATTTTTTGCATTTTTAGTAGAGACAGGGTTTCATGATGTTAGCCAAGATGGTCTCGATCTCCTGACCTCATGATCCGCCTGCCTCAGCCTCACAAAGTGCTGGGATCACAAGTGTAAGCCACTGCCCCCGGCCTATTTTCCTTATTTTTAAATTTCCTTTTTCCTATTTTTTTTGTAACTTCTATGTATTACTTGTATAATAAAGTCATGTTTAAAAACTTCCAAAAGTCCAGAACAACTTAGATCTATCACTTTTGCTTTTGTAACTCACGGCAAATACCAAAAATTTGGTGTCTATTTGCATGATTTTTTATTCCTTATTCCCTTGCATTTGGTCACATTTTATTTGTTTCTCTGGCAGTCCTCACTAGAGCAACATTTTTACAACTCGACATTTCCTAGCACTTTGTTAGGCACATGATGTTTACTCAGATCTACCTGTTGATGGTTTTTCAATTTTCGGTCTTTATTGAATTTCCACACAGATTATATGGAAGGAATTTAAGCAGTCCAAATATCTCCTTGAAATCACTAACATGTCTGATTTGCTCATCCTAAGTTTATGTCCTAAGCAAGGTCATAGTAATGGCTGAGTACATGCCAAGACAAAATGCATGGCAAGATATCAGTGGAAGTCCACATAGAATTTAGTGGATATTACTCTCAATTTTTCATCTCTTAACTCACCTGTCTTCCCACTTAGAAATGACCATAATTCTGAATGGTCATTGGTATTGGTATTGACGTACTGACAACTGAGTAGATTCTGAGATGACAAGTTAAATGGTGCTCCCACTCTGGAGAAGACACTAGAGGAAAGACGAAAATTACTTGGGGGTATCTGCTGCAGATCACATTAAATTCACTTCCTTTGTTTCTGCCAAAGTTCTGCCAATATGTTCAGGTTGATTTAAAAGGAATATGATGAAAATGGAAAACTGTTTCTAATCACAGCTATTAATTACTATAGACTGAATTCAAAGACATTTCCTAATTAAAATTTCAAAGTATCCTAAATATAATGTGAGATGTGAACCAGACAACACAAGGGATTTCTTTGTGACAGCCTACAAGGCATCAAGGCAGGAGTCAGATTCCCAAGTGTACATAAAAGTAGGTCCATTTTAAAAATGATTTCAGAGAGCCTCCACCCACTGGAACAAGACATCCCTGTCCTAGTTGTAAATCCAACAAAGTCAAACTTGGAACAGCTGTCAGTGATACAAGAAACTGGAAAAGCCTCATGTGCTACACGGAAATACAAAAATGGACTAGTAAACCATGATGAGGGTCCATGGGATCCAAGAACAACCAACAACGACACATAGTCAATAAGCTGCACTGGTTTATTCATTCAACAAGATTTCCTGGCTGCCCATTATATGCCAGGTACACTTTTAGGCAGTTGGCATACATGAGTAAACAAAATGGAAGAAGATCCCTTCCCTTGTGAAGTTCATATACAAGCAGACGGAGACAGACAATAAATAATATATCCAACTACTAGATACACTGCATTGTGTATGAGAAGATGAGAGGTGTTATAGATAAAAGTGGAGTAGGAGAATGCAGAGCTGTGGTTATGAGGAAGGATGGGAGTCAGATGGGTTGCAATTTTGAGTAGGGTGTCAGGGTAATTGTCATTGAGAAGGGACACTTGAACTGAGAGCCAGAAAAGATGAGGGAATGAGCCATGTTTGGGGAAGTTATCTTGGGGGAAGAGCTCTCCCTTCTCTAGTGCATAGGCCCTTATGTGGAGTGTGGTTGCCACATTTGAGGGATTGGAAGGAAACAATTGTATCTAGCGTGGAGTGGACAGGTGAGAAGAGTCATAGGACATTTGATTTATCAACAGTGCCCCAGATCGTGTAGGTCATTGTAGGCCATAGTACAGACTTTGGCTACTTGACATGGGGTCAAATTTCAACAGCAATTTTAGTGTCCATTCTCTATGTTTTCTTTTATCATTCCTTCTCACATGACTTAAAATGTTCCAGTCCTGCTCCTACTGTGTCCTTTCCTACTACTGTATTCTCATAATATGCTCCCTAATTTATGTCTTTGCTTATTCTAATTTTCATTTTGAGAGCAAATTTGCTTACCTAAGGTGCAGGCAGCTCTTTCATTGTGAAAAAAACACCATCTAGGAACATCACTACTTCTCAAATTAAGTCAAAACTTCTCTCTTTATCTTGTAGGATCTGGCTTCTATGTACTGTTCAACCTGATACTTTCCTATGCACCTTTCAATCCTTCACTCCAATTTCTATGCCTTTGCTCATGCCATTCTCTAAATACAAATTGTTTCCAATCTTCTCTTGTTACCACCTTATCCATTCTTTGATCTCCCCAAATGCCACAGTCATCTTTATAATCACTACAAATCCCAGCAACAAGTTGTCTCTCAGGTTTCCAAAATTCTCATCACTTTGTTTTCATATCTAAGACAGATTCTTTGCTATCAAATACTAATTTTAAGTGGATTCAGAAATGCACAGGGGAAGAGGGGTAAATCTGTGTCATATTCATGTTTAATTTCCCACAAAGATCTTGGAATATCAGTGTACTAATACATGTTGATAGAATATGTTTCAGCACTCAATCTGTAAACATAGAGAGCTTTAGCATTATTGACACAAGCCCACTCAGGACATAATGGCCAATCTTCTTCATCATGACCCATGGGCATTTAACTTTGTGATTATAGATACATCTGTACTCCTTGTGACTGTCCATGCTTCATGCCCAAGACAAGGAATACTGGATTAATTTAGGAATCCATCATATTTTTAAAGCCGTGACAACTAGCTGTATCATAAATATAGCCGATCACCCAGCAGCATAAATAATGGAAACACTGCCTTGGGGCCAATAAAAGTGACTGATGCTATGAATTGCTGTTAAGCCTGGTTATCCTTGTTCCATGTGGATCTCTGTAGCCTGTCTTTGTGCTTCAGATTGGCACTGCAGAAGCAGCATCTGTGAAAACATCAGACATCGAACAGCCACTGCATTTATCCAGTCTGAATTTGCAAATGAGGGGGAAGGTATCTGATCCAGTGTAAACTAGGCCCACACAGAGAGATGTGTCCTTATCATATTCATATTAATTATTGAGGAGCGCTTAAAATGTGTGGAATAATAAGAATTAAGTCTTTCTGTTTTTACTTTTATTTTAAATAATAGAAATTTTTAAAATAACTTGCCCTTTACTTGGATGTCATAGATAAGGATGTCTTTTTTTTTCTAATGTTCTATAAACATTAGAAAATGTCTTTAGATAGTTAATTTGGCTCCTTACATACTAAAAAGGGACATTTTGATGAAAATTTGATTTACAGAAGCATCCTGATAGAAAAAAAATGCCATCTCAGAACCAGAAATCCTGGCTTCTGATTCTAGCTCTACTGTTAATTAGCTTTAGTAGCTTGCATGGGTTACGTAACCTTCCTTCATCAAGCTCTGTCCCTTTACATATACAATGATGGAGAAAAATGAGATAGGTGTGCTATGTATTCAGGACCTATTTTGTGCAAACTGCTTTATCAACCTTTTCTGCTACTAAGCTTTTAGTGACATTATTATCTCCATTTTATAGATGAAAAGATTGGGTTTCAAAGAAGCTATGTAATTTTCCCAAGGTTACATAAAATAAGTGTCAAACCCAAATCCTGGTCAATCTGAGGTCCAATCCAAAAATTATGCAATTAAGACATTGGAATATGAAGGTAGAAACACAAAGGTAGAGTGTTTTGCAGAATGTCTTGCCTTGAGAAGTTGATATAATTATTCTGCATGCATCCAATCTTGAGAGATAGTAATGACTTAGGCTCCTTTGCCAAATGTGCCAAAACTGCTTCCCAAGTCAAGTCACAGCAGAAGAGATAATTATGGATGACTGATCAAGCAGACCACTTCCATTTAAACAGTAAACATTTTAGAATAATATTCAGCTTTATTAAGGTGGATTCATTTACTGGGGTCTACTGCATATTGGAATTCTGATTATGAGAAGCTTCTATATCTAGCTCAGTGGGAATCTTTAAAAATTGTCTTCTTAGAGGTCTTTTAAAATGGGCATTCTTATTTTTCTGTGTTACGGCAGCACCAAAGTAAGTACTTTCTATCTTTAGGTCTATGTTCATATCATCTTTGAAGTGTCATGACTTACCCTCTTTTATATTCAAAATGTGTACTTACTTCTTATTCAAGTATATGCTGCCCTTCTGGCTTCCATCATTTTTGTTTTACATTAGAGTAATTTATGTATCTTTCAAAATAAATCCTTATATTCCCAAAAGTGTTAAATACAGTATCTTATACAGAGTATCATATAAACTTGTTTCAGGAATACCTGAATTTATAATGCAGGTCAAAAATGGAACTTTCCTTTTATTTATTTATTTTTCCTTACAGCTGTATTCCACCCAAGATATTTTAAACTGGGCAAGGGAATCTGGGGAAGTAGCTGGATTCCCAAATCCAGCAATTCAACTCAAGATGGAGTTAGAATTGGTCCTTAAAAACAAAGCTATTGGATATTGCATTAGAGTAGGTTTCTAGGGAAACAGGCTTTGAGACAGAGATTCATATTCATGCAGTTTATTGAGTAGTGCTTTCAGCGACAGTGGCTGGGGGAAAGAAGAGGAGGTAAGGGAAGCAGGAGTGGGCAAAGGGAGAAGTTATATAAGGTAGATGTAACCAAAGTTTTGGTTGATCCTGCCAGGAGCTTTAGAGCTGAGGGAGCCCTTTACAGTTGTCTTGAATTGAAGATAGAGGGTGCCTTCCTGCCCATTGTCAATAGATGCATAATGACCCTGGGAATAGGCAGAATCTTGGGAAAGGCAGCAAATCTGGACCAGCACAATTCCTTAAAGGGACTCAGCTGTGAGCAGGGACTCAGCTGTGAGCAGTAACTCAGCTGTGAGCAGACACCATCTCAGAATATGGAAAATAGGGGACCTCATGTTGAAGCGGTGGGATCTGAGTGGGGTACCCCAACATCAATGATACCGCTTACAAATGATAAGAAAGGGGTACTGAACACTATATTCAACACCACATATAACTATACTTCTTTGTTCACATTGGCTGTTTGAAAATTATTACTTCATGGCAATCACAAATGTGGAGCAATGACGAAGTTGGAAACAGGGTTGTCAAGAAGCATAGACTGTATATTCAGAGGACAAAACAGTCTCAAATACATGAAAGGGCAGATTTTCAAGTTTCTTCAGTCTTATGGCATAATCTTGAGCAAGGAGGAAAAGGGAGTAAACTGAAATAAATTGAGTGTTAATGCATCCTGGGCATCATCTTAGGTCTTTCATATGCCTGGGATTTATAGTTAGATAAAGGCTTTAAGAGTCAGTTAGATAAAAAAAAATTGGGGGCTTTTATTTGTGGACCAAAGCAAAAAGAATCACTTGAAATAATTGTTAAAAATGTAGGTTCCTAGGTCCAGCCCCAGGTCCATTACATATTTTTTTTTTCAGATTGAGCTGGGAAATACTAATTTTAATGAACACAGTGAATGATTTTAATGCTCATTAAAGTTTGGGTACCATTATTTTGGGAAAAAAAGTATGTAGTTAAGACATTGGAATATGAAGGTAGAAAGTCAGAAAGGTAGAGTGTTCTGTGGAATGTCCTGCCTTGAGAAGCTGATAAAATTCTTCTGCATGCATCCAATCTTGAGAGATAGTGATGACAGGCTCCTTTGCCAAATGTGTAAGCTTCTATTTGCCATGGTTTCTGTTTAAATAAAAAAAAGATCGTGTGATTCCTCTAGCTAGTAACATCTAATATGTATGGTATTACTGATAGCCATGTGAAACATCTACTCTTTGAATTGTGTCAGGGGCAGGCATATCCAAGGGATAAGGAAAACACACAGAGTTAGACTTTCCTTATTCTGTTTCTTCTCACGACCTATTGTTAGTGTTCTCTTTTTTCATCACAGGGAGCATAAGGTTTGTCAATTGCAATGTACTGGTAAACTGGCTTTCCAGTAAACAAACAAACATGAGGTCCAGGTTTGTAGTGTTTCTGATTTCCATGGTGCAAGTATTCCCACTTGATCATGGCTGATTTCAGCTTATCAATTATTTAACAACTGGCCTGCAAAATTCTTGATTGTTTAAAAATCAACTCTCTTAATCAGGAAGAGCTAATTCCAGCACACCACGGATATAGCTACCATGAATATGTTGTTTTGTGTTAATTGTGGCAAACATGTTTAACATGATATCTACCCTCTTAACAGATGTTTAAGTGTACAATACAGCATTGTTAAGTATAGATACAATACTGTGTAGTAGTTTTCTGGAACTTAATCATCTTGCATAACTGAAACTTTATACCTGTCAACAGCAACTCAATATTTTCCCAACCTCCCAGACTCAGGCGACTGTCATAAAATGTCGACCATTAATTCTTTTAACTTGCCAAATTTTGTTTTGGTAGCATTTCCCCGTATCTAGATAACTTGTTATCTTTCAAATTTGATCCAAATTTCTACGTCATGAGACTGCAAACTTTTTCTGAAAGAGGCCAGGTGGTAAATATTTTGGATTTGTAGGCCATGGTCTCTGTCAACCACTCAATTCTGCTGTTGTAATACAAAAGTAGCCATAGACAATATGTAAACAAATGGACTTGGCTGGGTTCCAATAAGACATTATTTATAAAATTAGGTTGTGAGCTGGATTTGGGCCACAGGTCATAGTTTGCTGATCCCAGTCCTAAATCAAGTGGGCTGCAGGGTTTTCTGAACAATACCTGTTGTTTCTGGACTCTTGGAAGGTACTTTTCATCCCTTGAAGATCCTAAGTGTGGTACCAGCACCTGGGAGCTAACAGACATTTTTCCTTTCTAACATGAAAATGGCCTCAGCAGGGGACAGCCATAATAAAATCTTAAATGATGAAGGAGGGAGGGCACCATCTTAGACCCACTGACAAACGAGCCCTACAAAAATGGAATGCAGCTGTTGCTCAAACTTGACCTCCTAAGCTCTTTCTCTATGTTGATTTCTGTGAATCCCCCACAGCATTCTTTCTCAATTACAGCAAACACAGCTCACAAACCTGCCCAGGGAGTAAAATTAGACAATTTGACATAAAATAGATGCCTTCAAAGAGGCAGGCAGGCACATGGAAATATCAGTAACTGTTGCCTAACAGGGCAATCCCCTGGGTGTCTATAGACTTAATTATGTTAATCACATCATCCATCTTACATGGGGAGGCCAGTCTGTTGCCAAGAAGCCTGGAGAGAAAATGATTTTGCTAAAAATGCCTACCTTTCAGGATGAAGGAAGTCAGTCCTCCTTTTGCTATGGGATCCAGGCTCAACTTCATAGCATTTGGAGATGACCTAAACCAGTTTGGGACAGAGCCACAGCTTCCCAGCTGTATTGTACTGTCTAACACATCAGGCATACTGCTCTGCCTGTGAACTTCGTAGAGGAGCACATTGAGACATAGGAACACATACAAGCCAAACAACTTTTTAAAAAAGTCTCTTTGAGATGGAAGTAGAAACAAGAGAAGAAGCAGTGACTCAAACAATGTAGAATGTTCAACGCCTGCTCACAAACTCAAACTGCCTTCCAGAAAGCATGTTTACTTCTCCACATTTTCATCCAGTAATTACTTCAAAATATCATTTCAAGAAATGATTGTAATCCTTATCCCATTCTCAATTAAGCTATATGAGGGAAAAGGCAATAGTCAATCGAAATGAGTACCTTTTAAAAATCTTTATTTATTTATTTATTTATTTATTTATTTATTTATTTAGTCAGTAATAATTCTAAGACAACTGCATGCTTCAGAAGATCTGAAGTGGTATAGAGCAGATCCTTGCGAATTCAGGCCAGCATGCCGGAATGGACTTTCCCCGTAGCTGACAGTTGTTCTCCTGATTCATGATGGAGACATTTCAGTCTCCATCTGGCTCTTGCCGGAGGTCAATCCAGAGACCCAATGTGTCCCACCAGTACGGTCCAGCCCAGAGATTAAAAAATGAGCACTATTTCATGTGTTGTATGATAAGCACTGAAGACCCTCCTCACAGTCCTTTCTTCTCTCTTTACCCCAGTGAGAGTAAGAGAGGCAGTTTTCAGAGAGCAGAACACAGACTTACAGAAGTAGCAAGTGACTGCTTGACATGGATGTTTCTAACCTTGAGGATAACAGAGGGTCCTGTGATGGGTACTCAACTAGGCAGCACATTCCAGACTTTTAACCGTCTTCTTGGTCTCTGAAGAGTCCTAAGAGTCATTTATAGAGACAAAAAAAAAATGCAGGAGGAGAATTTCCTTGTTTGTATCTAAAACAAGGAAAGATTTTATTACAGAGAAAGACTTTGACAGTCATGGGTGGCTCAAAAGTCTATGGTATAGGCTGGGCATGGTGGCTCATGCCTGTAATCCCAGCACTTTGGGAGGCTGAGGTGGGCAGATCAGCTGAGGTCAGGGAGTTCGAGGCCAGCCTGGCCAACATGGTGAAACCCCATCTCTACTAAAAATACAAAAATTAGCCTGGTGTGGTGGCATGCATCTGTAATCCTAGCTACTTGGGAGGCTGAGGCAGGAGAATCGCTTGCACCCGGGAGGCAGAGGTTGCAGTGAGCCGAGATCACACCACTGCACTCCAGCCTGGGTGACAGAGCAAGACTCTGTCTCAAAAAAAAAAAAAAGTCTATGGTATAATGACCTGGTAAGATTAAGAGTCTAAATAGTCTTTACATTTGTGAGATTTCTTAAAATTTTCTTTCTTTTTCTGTTTTCTTATTTTGGAAGTTATTACACCTTGTTCTATTATGTTGTTACTATTTACTGCCCAACACAGAAGTAGTCCACAATCACCAATACTAAAGCTGCCTGGTAGTCCAGATTTTCTGGCTCTCCCAATTTGTAAGGTCTAATTAGTAGCAATATCGTTCTTCTCCAGAGGGATTTTCACCACACACTAGAGACTGAGTTGGAACAACTTGCTTGACTAGCTCTGTAACTTTACAGGAGTCTGGGGAGTTAAGTCTCCCCTAAACACACTGTATTATTGTGTGATTAAAGTGTTTCCAGATTTGCTCACTCTCAAAGCCAGTAACAGAAACAGGTTCCCACTGCCCTCTCTGGCCTTGAGTTGGTATTCATTTGCAATATTAAGATTGGAGGGAAATTCAGCACTCCTTACTAAGAAAGATTTAAAGAATATCCTTGCAATATGAATAAATTTAACCCCATGAAGCAGTGTCTTATTTAAGATTACATAAGAGCAGATTAAAGTCATCATGATGGAGGGGGCTTCAAGGTGGCTGACTAGAGGCACCCAACGCTATCCTGCTCAACAACAACAAGAAAACCCGAAATAGCTCATATATAATCACACTTTAAACAGAGCATCTAAGAGAGAACACTGGAATTCTGTAGAGAAGTGACAGGAAACACCTGAGGCGCAGGAAGAGAAGGAAACGAGGCGGCAGCCAGCCTGGCCAGGATTGGCTGGGAGTCTGGAGAGGCTCCCCAGTGTGGGGAAAGGATAAGTAAAATATCCCCCACTGTCTACATTCCCACCATGGACTCCTGCAATCCTAACCACAGGAAAGTCCCTTGACCCTAGCAGGCTCTGAGTCTTCTGTAGGAAGCTTCCACCAGTCCGTGCGATAGCATTACTCCAGAGAAAGAGCTCAAACTGGGTACCGCACACCCCTTAAGATCCAAGAAGCTGAAGTATGGTGCCATTTTGAGGGCCCAGTTCCTCACCAGACTGCATTCTGCCTTGGGACCCAACCGCCCCTACATCTCCACATCCCTGGACCCCCACTGACATCCCTCTGTGTCTATGCAAAGGGCTTCAGTGACACATTGCAGGTTGCCCCCAGCTAAGCAGCAAGGTCCTCAGCACTCTAGTACACACAATATCTCACACACCTGGGAGTGAGCAGTGCAGCACACCATGTAGTCTGCTGCTGGGACAAAGGATCCAAAGCGTGCACTCCCTGGAGCCTGAGAACTGCCTACCTGGGGCTGCTGCCACTGATGGCAATGCACTCTCAGTCAGCAGCATGGCCCCCAGATGTGTGCACATTCCCTGAGAACAGGCTCAGTTGTTGCTGCCACCCAACCATGCTGCCTGGGGGCCTGGGGTTCAGGATCACCTGCCATGCCCACCACAGCCTGTGCCCAAGCACACCACCACACGGCCTGAGTACAGGTCTGCCTACCCTGAACATGCCACCCAGGGGCCTGGGGATCACCTTATCCATCTGTTGCCCTGGTAGTGCATGCATACCACCAGGGGACCCAACAATAGTCCCAAAACACCTGATGCCAGTGCCCAAGCACACTGTCCGGAGGCCTGGGGATTGCCCCACCCTGTCTACCACCTCTGACAACGGTGCACTCCTCTCAACAGCCTGAGGACAGACCCACACAGCCTTCTGCCATGACCACTGCCAACATTCACCTGCATGCAACCCCTGAGAGCCAGAGGACTGGTTTGTTCAGCCCAACACAGCCACGACTGCAACCAGTACTTGCTGGCTGGGAGCCCAAGGGTTGTCCCACCATCACTACTGCCCACATAATGTATGCTGCCCAGGGGCCCAAGGATCTATCCACCCTCCCCACCTACCACTGCCACTGCCAGCACCTGAACAAGATGTCTGCAAGGCTAAGAATTTGCCTGCCGCAGCCTGCAAACACCAGTGCTTGTATATGTGCCCTGAGAGTCCAAGGACAGGTATGCTCAGCTCACTGCTGCCAGCACTGCAGCCTAAGGAATGGTTCTCCTGGTGTCTTTGTCCCAGAAAAGCCTCACTACAGCTTCCACTAACAACAACAGCCCAAACCAGTGAGGAAAGATACCACTGATGCTTTTTAAAGCTAATTCCAAAAAAATTACAGAGAAGGAATTCTCCCTAACTCTGTGAGGCCATCACAACCCTGATATCGCAACCAGAAAAGGACACAACTAAAAAAGGAAGTTCTACCCCTGATGAACGTAGATGCAAAAATTCTCAACAAAATAAAAGTAAACTGAATCCAACAGCGTATTATAAAAGATAATACACCATGATCAAGTGGGATTTATTCTAGGGCTGCAAGGACGTCTCAACATATACAAATCAATAAACATGAACTATCACATCAACTTAATGAAGGACAAAAGCCTATGATTTTTTTAGTCAATGCAGAATAAGCATTCAGTAAAATTTATCATCCCTTCATGACAAAAATCCTCAATAAACTAGGCATGCAAGGAACATACCTCAATATAATGAAGGTCATATATTACAAACCAACCAACATCATACTGAATGGGAAAAAGCAGAAAGCCTTTCTTCTAATAATTGGAACAAGACAATGAGACCCATTTTACCACCCCTATTAAACATAGTACTAGAAGTTCTAGCCATAGCAGTCAGGCAGGAGAAATAACTAAAAGAAATCCAAACTGGAAAAAAAGAAGTCAAATTGTCTTTGTTTGGGAATAACATATTTTTACATTTAGAAAAACATAAAGACTCCATCGAAAAAACTCTTTGCTCTGATAACTTCAGTAAATTTGCAGGATACAAAATCAACATAGAAACATCAGTAGCATTTCTGTACACCAATAATAAACTAAAAAAAATAAATAAATAAGGCATTCCCATTTATAACAGCTATAAAAAATATTAACTACCTAGGAATAAATTTAACAAAGGAGGTGAAAGATCTGTACAAGGAAAACCATGAAACACTGGTGAAAGACATTGAAGGGGACACAAATGAAAGACATAGCATATTCATGGATTGTAAGAATATTGTCAAAATGACCATACTATCTAAAGCAATCTACAGATTCAATGCAATCCCTATCAAAAGGCCAATGAAAATTTTCACAGTAATAGAAAAAAATATTAAAATTTGTATGGAACCCACAAATAGTTTAAATAATGAAAGCATTCCTGACCAAAAAGAACAAAGCTGGAGGTATAGTACCTAACCACAAAATATAATACAAGCTTACAGTAATCAAAACAGCATGGTATTGGTAGAAAAACAGACACATAGACCAATGTAATAGCATAGATAAGCCAGAAATAAATCCACACAATTTACAGCCAACTGATTTTCAACAAGGTTCCCAGAACATACACTGGGGAAAGGACACCTTCTTCATTAAATGGTGCTGAAAAAACTGGATATTCATATGCTGAAGAATGAAACTTAACCCCTATCTGTCGCCACATACAAAACTCAACCCAAAATGAATTAGACTTAAATATAAGACTCAAAAGTATAAAATTACTAGAAGAAAATATAGAAGAAACACTCCAAGATGTTGGTTTAGGCAAAGATTTTATGGCTAAAACCTCAAAAACAAGGGCAAAAAAAATAAAAATAGACAATTAAGAGCACAGTAACTAAAGAGCTTTTGCAAAGCAAAGGAAGCAATCAACAGAGTGAAGAGACAACCTGTAGGATGGGAGAAAATATTTGCAAACTATTGATCTGACAAGGGACTAATGTACAGAACATGCAAGAAACTCAAACAACTCAACAGTGAAATAATAATAATAATTAATAATTCCATTAAAAAGGGGGCAAAGGGCATGAGCAGATATTTCTCAAAAGATGACATACAAATGGCCAACACATATATGAAAAAATGCTCAACACCACTAAACATCAGAGTAATGAAATAAAAACCACAAAGAGAAAACCTCTTCACTCAGTTAAAACAGCTGTTGTCGCAAAGACAAAAATAACAGATGCTGGTGAGAACGTAGAGAGAAGGTGACTTATACATTATTGCTTTGAATGTAAATTAGTACAGCCATTATGGAAAACAGTATGGAAATTTTTCAAAGAACTAAAAATAGAACTACCATACAACATAGCAATCTCATTACTAAGTATTTACACAAAAGAAAGAAAATCAGTATTTCCAAGAGATATCTGCACACCTATGTTTCTTGCAGCACTGTTCACAACTGCAAAGATATGAGATCTAAGTATCCATCAATGGATGAATGGATAAGGCAAATGTGGTATGTATACACAATGGAATACTATTTAGTCATAAAATAGAAGAAAATCCTGTCATTGCAGCAACATGGATGGACCTAGAGTTCATTATGTTAAGTGAGATAAGCCAAAGTGCAGAAAGACAAATATCACATGTTCTCACTCATATGTGGGAGCTAAAAAGGTGGACCTGATGGCAATAGAAGGTAGTATGATAGTTACCAGAGTCTGGGAAGGGGGTGTAAGTTGGGGGTGGGGGTGGAGACAGTTTGGTTAATGGGTACACACATACAGTTTGTTAGAAGAAATAAGCTTTAATGTTCAATAGCAGAGTAGGGTGCCTAGAGTTAACAACAATGTATATGTATATCTCAAAATAACTAGAAGAGAGGATTTGAAATATTCCTAAAATATGAAAATGATAAATGCTTCAGGTGATGCATATTCTCAATACCCTGACTTGATCATTACAAAATCTATGTATGTAACAAAATATCACATGTACCCTATAAATATATACAAACATTGTGTATCAATAAAAATCAAAAGGACATGATTACAAGAGGGAATGGAAAATTCCCTCATTATCAAAAATTATCATGTCATTATCAAAAGGACATGATTACAAGAGGGAATGGAAAATATTAGCTAACGAAAAACAGATCTATAAATGCAAAGGTTATACCCGAAGTTATTGAACAAGCTGTTACCATGGAAGAGGGACAAGTAAAATAGCTGGAATTCCTTCCCATGTTTATTTAGGTAGATATATTTATCTGTTGTGCAAGAGGCCTTGTAGATGAACAAATCAAATAGTTTGTCTAAAGAACAGGTAAATTGCAAAGGTCTTCTGTCTTCATTTGCCCTTGCAAGTGTGTGACTCTTGGTGTATTATGAGTAATCTGGCAACTTGCTCATGCATTCCTTAATCTGCTCCTTTCTCTCTGACTTCGAGCATTTGTTTCAGATCTTTGAGCATCTACTTCTCATTACAAAATAATAGGTTAGACTAAGGTGATCATTAAGATTTTTCTGCCAGTGTTTCTTAAAATGGTGAGATTGTTGAATCATCTCCATTATTTTTGCTATTGCTGCATATGCCATGTACTATATTTGCCTACTATTTGTATCTCTAAGCCAGCTCAATTTAAAGAGACCTAAAATACTACCTGAACTTCAGTGTAAATAATATCTATGAAAATATGAATTGGATGTGCTTGTTTAAATTTATAACACATACATTGAAATAAATAAAATTTTCTTATATTTCCCCAAATTATGTCATATATTACATTAATCTGCCTCAAAGTAATTAAAAATGAAAACAACTAAATTCTATAGTAAAAAAATTCTAATTTTATACAGGATTTTTGATGTTTTCCAAAGTGTTTTAAAAGTAAAAATGCAAGTGTTTTTATTGTAATGCAGAGAGGGAGAAGAAATATCTGATTTAATAGTAAGTTACTTTCTTCCAGTAGCCCAACAAATCAATGCAGCCATAGATATTGATTCCTTATATAAAGGTTAGAATCTCTGACCTTTAAGGGATACAACTGGAGAATAGTGAACGAGAGGAACTTGACCTATCCTATCCGCTGCTCTTCATTAAACAGACTTGAAAGAATTACCAACTTTCAGCTCTAGATTAAAACAACAATGACACATAATGTCTCACATTGCAGTTTTATTTTAAAGGAGGCAGAAGATAAAAGAAAAGGAATACATACTCTAACTACAAGGGAGGTAAAATGAAACTGTTTCCTCAACCATGGCTTTAGCAAAGCTTGTGAGGTGCTATAATAAATCCGTTATCTGGAAGGATCCACCTAAAATAACTGAGTAACAAGAACATTTACTATGATATTTGAAGCTACTTATGGTTACTTCAGGATCAAAACCAAATATTATCTACTGCACATACATATTCCAATTTTCATAAATCTATTATTCTCTGACATTGCCATAGTAATTTCTGGACCCATAGTTACCCCTACACACAACAAGAGGAAAATCATATCATGTCGGACCCGAATGCTGAGTGGCTGCTTCTTCAGGAGCAGTAGAGATTATGCTCAGCGTGGGCTGGAGAGCTGTATTTCATGAGGTGAGATTAATTGAACTTTCCCTCTTTGTAATTAATTCACACCTTTTCAGAAAGAAAATACATAGAAAGTACATAGAGTGAGGAGATGTAAAATAGAGCTATTGGAGACAATATTTTTAAACTGAAAAACACAAATCATGGTTTGAACATGACAACCTGGCATGTCGAGTTTAATCTTCCTTTTGGGGGGCTACATATGATCGTTAGAAATTTCCGACTGATTTTAATAAAGGTGGTGAACGTCTAAAACCCATATCCAAAGATAACTTACATTGAATGTATAGCTCAGTTTGCTATATCAAAGCAAGATATCTATCCACTTATTACAGCCTTGCAATAGGTAAAATTTTTTTGGAAAAGAGAATAGCATTAAACAATAATATCCAGGAAGGAAAAAACAGAAGGATAATATGGAACTCTCCTACCTTGTATCAAACACCTGTTTTAAAGGTAGCTATGTGATGGTCACATTTTTAGAGCAGGGCCTCTAGCCCTTCTAAAAAGCAAGCAATATTTTGCAGATCATGAATTTTTAAATAATTATTTAATGAATAGGTATGGAAGGATGTCTAAACATTGGGGAGTTTACAACTGGTCAGAGACAGGACTGTTATTTAGGAACATAGTGATAATGATCCCAGTGTTTAGTTCCGGATGAAATGTCACAGGTAATTTAATCCACATAGCTTCCTTTAAAGATGAAGGAATGGAAGCCTATAGGGATTTGGTGAATTGCCAGAGGTCTCACAACTGAAATGTGAGGACTTTACACCAAACTTTCTGACAAAAGATGTGCATTTCAGAGTTCACTGCTCTTGCTGCACTTTGATTTCATCTGGATTATAGAACTAGAAATCACAATGTAAGAAACCAACATGCTCATGACCGTAACTGGAAGGGCATGGTGCTTTTTTACTGCTTGACTGAACACTGAGGGAAAAACTATGATTAACTTCCCTAGAATATGCTTGGGAAAGGATAGTCACTTTCACCTGTTAGTAGAAAGAACAGCTGTTAAGTACTTTGGTTGTGACTAGTCTGGCCATCACTCATAGTATAAATAGGGCACAGGAGGCTGGTGTGTTTATTGGTTACTGAGAGCAGAGCGAAAGAACATTCCCAATAGTTGAGTATCTTTCTTCCTTTTCAGGTACAGAATTAGCTTTGTTCTTCTGTTAATTTTTCAGACGAACTTTTAAGATCTGGTTTCTGGGTGATTGAGAAAGATGACCTAGAGCACCAAAGTAGAAATGCATGGTGCAACCCTTTTTTAAACACTCTGCATGTACATTCTGCAGTGTGTTTTGATTACATGTTCAAGAATTTCTAGCCGGATAGAATAGGAAAACTTCAGAATAAGGAAGTTTTGATATAGTAAAGCATGATACAGTCTTGTGTTACCAACCCTTTTTCATTATAAAGAAAGTTCTGCTGAAGAAAACTTTCTAAAAGTGTGTGTTCCTTTTGGTCTCTAATATTCATCTATAAACATGTCTGCATACGTTGTTTGAAGATTTCTTTTTCTATCTTAGCAGTGCAAACCACACCTTTCATTACTTTCTTTTCCACATAAAAGTTCACTTATGGTGATTACTCGAAAAGAATAAAAAGAGACTGTAGATAAATCTCACATTATATGTGGCTTGAAGCCTGCATTCCAGCATCAACACCTGATGTGACAAATACATTTTGGAAGAATGAAGCTATCAGCAAAATGCCCTGGAGGAAAATAAAACTCTGGGAGATAGGATAGTGTATATATGAGATGATGGATCTGTGACCTGCAAAGCAGACTCTATAAATTTTGGCCATCAATACCACAGTAGGAACAGTTCTCCTTCCCTAATGAGCTTGGTGCCCTCTTCTTCCATGATAAACACCAAGTTTGTTCCTAGTATTTTTGTTTTGCTTTCTGTTTTCCTGTTTGTGTGGGTGTGTTATAAACTACTGTAAAATTTCTTACATATGTTTCCAGGAGTACATTCATGCCAATACTTTCCTGTGCATATATGCCCAATGGTATAACTACTGAATTTTTGGGTATGTGCACCCTCAACTTTAGTAGATAATGTCAAATTGTTTTCCTACGATGTTGAGAAATTTTACACACCTACCAGCAATGCAGAAGAATTTCCATTGTTCTTTATCTTTGCCAGCACTTGAATTCTTCTATTTTTACAAATGATTTTTATTTTTTCAGGTTTATTGAGGCAAAATTGACAAGTAAATATTATAAATAATTTCAGTGTACAATATGATGTTGTTATATGTGTATATATTGTGAAATTATTACACTTTGATTATCAAGCTTTAATAAATTTATCACCTTATGTATTTACCTTTTAAAATGGTGAGAATAAGATCTATGCTTTTATCAAATTCCAAGTATATAATACAATATTTTTAACTTGAGTCACTAGGCTACACACTAGATCTCTAGATTATTCATTCTGCCCAACTGAAACTTTGTGTCCTTCGACCAACATCTCTTCATTTCTTCTGCATCGCAGCCCCTCGCAATTACCCTTCTACTCTCTGCTTCTATGAGTTTGACTTTTTTAGATTCCACGTGCAAGTGAGATAATGTAGTATTTGTCTTTCTGTGCCTAGCTTATTTCACTCAGCATAATGTTTTACAGATTCATTCATATTGTTGAAAATGTGCAAATGACAAGATCTTCTTTTTCAAGGCTAATAATGTCCCATTGCGTGTGTGTTTGTGTGTGTGTGTGTGTGTGTGTGTCTCATTGTCTTTATCCATTCATCTGTTGACAGACACTTAGGTGATTCCACATCTTGGCTGTCATGAAAAATGCTGCAATGAACATGGGAATGCAGATATCTCTTTGACATACTGATTTCATTTTCTTCGGATAAATACCAGGAACGAATTTCTGGATCATATGGTAGTTCTATTTTTAACTTTTTGAGGAACCTCCATACTGTTTTTTGTAATGTCTCCATCAATTTACATTCCCACCAACAGTGTACAGAACTTCATTTTCCTCTACATTCTTGCCAACACTTGTTATCTTTTGACTGGCCTGGATTCTGGGGTTGTGGGTACTGGCATTGGTGCTGAAGTGAACTTGGAGCCTGGGTCCGCCTGCATGGGCCTCAATCCTGGAGCTGCAGGAGCTGGCCTGGTGCTGACAACAGCCTAGAGCCTGAGTCCTCAGGGACCACCCTAGAGCCTGGGGCTACTGGGGCAGCCTGTTGCTGGGGTTCGCTGGGTCAGGCCTGCTGCTGAGGTCTGCAGCAAAGTCTGGTAGCGCTTAATGTTTGACTTTTCATATTTCAGCAAACTGATAGATGCAAATTGCTATTTTCATTTTTGACTATTTTTTTCTAATTGCCAATGGGCTTGAACAATTTGTCTTGTATTTACTCAGTTTACTCCTCACTTGTGTTGTTATTTTCTAAAATCCCTGTTCATGTATGCAGCCGAATGATTCTTGCTTCATCTTTTCATCTCCCTGTAATAGTGTTACATGGCCACATCCTGGTTGCAGCCTCTTCAACAAGGATGTGGCTATATAGTACTATTGCAGGGGAGTGAAATAGTGGCTACTATTGATCACTTCCCAGCTTCCTACTCTTGTTTTTACTTTCTAAAATTCCTGTCCATGTCTTTACTTTCTACAAAGTGAACAGAAAGAATCTTTACTCTGGACTTGGTTACATAACTTGTTTTGGCCAACGTGATGTGAATGAAAGTGATGTGAATGGTAACTCAAAATGCTCTTGGGTATTAGGGCTGGCCTCTTGAGCATTGGGCTATGCCATGGGAGGGGGAGCTACAAATGGCCACTATTTATCACTTTCCACCTTGGGCGCTGGAATGAGAGACATGGTCAGAGTTGCCCCAGTGCACCCACAGACACATGAGTGATAAATAAATGCTTATTCTTGTATGCCACAGAATGTTTAAGATTGCTTGTTGTACAGCACTGTTGTGGCAATGACTGGCTGATACATATTTGCTATTTTTCTATTGGATCAAAAGCCTTCCTCTTACAAATTTGGAGATCTTTATTCTAAGTTACAATTCTTTGTGCTTTCATTTCCTTCTTTTCACACAATTTATTATTTCTTTTGATGTGCAGAAACTCTTAATTTTAATTTGTTATAATTTATTGATCTTTCCTCTTTTGGTTAGGTGTGTGTGTGCGTGTGTGTGTGTGTGTGCCAATTCTTCCTTACTGCAGGTTTTTAGACACATTATCTCATCTTTTACTCTAAATGTTTTATGGTTTTCCTTTTATGCTGAAGCTTGGTAATACCTTTTATGTATTGCTGTGAGGTAGGGACCCCGTTTTTCTTTCTTTCTTTTTTTTTTTTGAGACAGGTCCTCACGGTCACCCAGACTGGAGTGCAGTGGCATGATCACAGCTCACTACAGCCTCAAACTCCAGGGCTCAGGTGATCATCTTACCTCAGCCTCCTGAATAGCTAGAATTACAGGCATCTGCCACCACACCTGGCTACTTTTTTATTTTATTTTATTTTATTTTTTATTTTTTATTTATTTATTTTTTTGAGACAGAGTCTCTCTCTGTTGCCCACCCGGCTAACTTTTGTATTTTTTGTAGAGACGGGGTTTTGCCATGTTACTCAGGTGGGCTCCAGTGATCCACCTGCATCAGCCTCCAAAAGTGCTAGGATTGTAGGCATGAACCACCGTGACTGCCCTTCCTTTTTTCCTCTTTTCCTTTCCTCTCCTCTCCTTTCCCTTTCCCTTTTCCTTTCCTTTGCTTTCTTTTTTCCTCTTTTCCTACCTTTGTCTCTCTCTCTCTCTCTTTCTTTCATAGAAAAGCAGTTGTTTCAGCATCATATATTGTATAGAGAACCTCTTTCACACTGGTCTCTAGTGACTTTATAACACATATAAATTTCCATGTTTATATGCTCTGTCTCCATGATAACAACCTGCCTAGATTTTTAGAAATTTATGACAAATCTCCTTCTAGTAAGAGAAGTCATCATCCTACCTTAATTTTTCAGGATTATCTTGACTATTTTTGGCCATTTGCCTTCTAACATAAATTTTGATTGCCATTCACTCCTATTTCCCTACCATGCTATTTGAACAAAGATACCATTTTAATTTACGGCCAGCAGGAATACAAATGTACTGTAAGTAGTGGAATTACACAAATCTGGATCCTTTTGTTTCAGATACCTTACAGGGGTCTAAAGATTCTATGAAGAAAATCTAAAATCTAAAAATTCCATGAAGAAAATAAATTGTGTTACCTTAAGAAAATCACCATCCGCTAGTTGCAGATGAATCAATATATGCTATAGTAAAGGACCCTGCAAGAAATTGAGCTTATTGTTGCTGCTGTTATCTTTTACTTTTTGCTACAGTCAGGCTGTTACCAGAAGTTTGCCTTGATATTTGAGAAACACAATAATTACCTTGATCCCTAACCATGAGTGGTGGACCTGAAGCCATGTCTGTTAGAAGGCAATGAGAATATCTGCTCATAGCAGTGTGGGCAAACAACCTTATTGTCTGGAAAATGAAATGCAGCCATCCCTTTCCAGATGAAGTTTAAGAAAGGGAAACATCCAGACTGAAGGCACTAAGGCAACTGCTGTTCGTATTTAAAAGTCCAAAGACAAAACATCACAAGCCCTAGGAAAGGAGAAGAAAAGGTGCAGTTCTGATGCCACATAGGCATAACCTGACCTAAATTCTGAATCCCAACTCTAGTGCTGCAATAAATTGGCATGTGAGTGCAGGATAGACTTCTCTAAATAGGCACTGAGCCAGGCATCTCAGGCCAGAAATAGGAGTAGATAATCCAAGATGACTTTCTAACATAGGCCCTCAGCAGCTGCTATATTTGTCAATAAAGATCTTCCTTATAGTCAAAGCTAATCACCGTAGGCACTACTTGAGACTATGGCTTCCCTATAGGTCTTTGGATGTAGCTTACCTGAGCTGGCTGTGACTCAAGTATCAGCACTCCCTAGCATCTGTACAGCAGGATAAACTACTTAATGGTATTCCTAGACACTATGTATACAGAACACTCAGGATGGATCAAGGAGACAGGGCAAGGAATACTCCCTGGGAAGAGTCAGATAAAAAAATGATATAAAAAAAGGATAACCCTTGAGCTAAGACTTGAAGAATGAATAGGAATTTTAAAGGTGATTAAAGAGGAGGAAATTGGCAAAGGGAACAGCCTAGTGTTACAGATCTTTTAGAACTTGTATAGCATCCTTTCTCATTTTTTTACTTGACTATCCCCCATGCCACAAAAAGAAGAAACAAAAGGACACTATGAAGACAATGAAAGTGGAAACAAAAATCGTTCAGTAAGAGTGGTGGAATAGGAGTACCTTGTTTGCAATGTATGAAAGGGTAAGCTATGGAAAAAGCTTGCATATGGACATGAATGTTCATACATACATTTGAGAAAGTCTACTCTGATAATGATTTGGAGAATAGATGAAAATAAGGAATAGTGTTGTAGGCAGAATAATGACCCAACAAAGATGTCCACATCCTAGTCCCCTGACTCTGAGAATATGTTGCCTTACATGGCAAAAGAGACTTACAGATGTTGTTAAGGACACTGAGATGGGAAAATTATCCTGGATTAGCCAGGTAGGTAGAAGAAGATAGCAGAGTGAAGCAATATGAAAACTCAAACTCCTCATCCTGGGTTTTAAAATGGAGGAGGAGGAGGACCATGGGCCACAGAATGCTGGTGGCCCCTAGAAGCTGGAAAAAACAAGAATACAGATTCTCCCCTCAAGCTTCCAGAAAGGAAGAAACCCTGCTGACACCTGGGTTTTAGCCCATTTGGAAGTTTTAACTACAAAGCAATACGAAAATAAATTTGTGTAGTTTTAAGCCACTAAGTTTGTGGTAATTTGTTACAGCAACCATGGCCAACAAATACAGATGGTGAAACTGCTGGCAGAGAGATAAATGAAGAGGCTACTTTAATTCATATTGAAGAAAATATTTTGTAGTAAGTGGTCATTCATTCTGACAAACGAATGGTTTCCCTAGAAAGAGTAAATACAGGAAGAATTTGCCCTAATGATTAAATTTTCCAGAAGAACATGAAATATAATTTGCTTTGAACAAAGATGAATTGCCCATTTGTGGCCAATATCCTTCAATGAAGAACTATATCCTTTCAGGTTCAGAATGAATGGGGCAATGGGAAAAAAAAAATGAGAAGCTATCTAGACCTTTGAGGCCTGGAAAAAAATCCTTTAATTAAATTAGTGAGCAATTTACCTAATATTTTGAGAATATAATTCTTTTAATTAGCTATTAATGACATGTCATTATTAGTTAATTATCAGTCTCTAGAGGATAATGTTTTCTCATGGCTTGGCTTTAATGGCACTCTCATACATCTTCTTATGTCATGGGTTATGGGTCATAGGCTGCCAATTTAGTTCTTCCAAAGACTATTTTATTGATTGAACATATAAATTTTAAGTAAAGAAATACAATACCGTTTAGGAATTCTGACAACCTGGATTCAAATTCTGGCTCTATTACGTAGTAGCTATATGACCTTAGATCAGTAGCTGAACCCTTGCAGCCTATTTTCTCATCTGTAACATAAGAAAAACAATAGCAACTGTCTTGTGTGCTTGTTATGAGGATTAAATGAGATGATTGCTTAAAGAATTTGGTATGATGTCCAGTAATAGATTGGTGCAAAAGTAACTGTGGGTTCTGCCATTAAAAGTAATGGCAAAACCCTCAATTTTGCACCAACCTAATACACGTAATAAACATTCAGTAAAATTTAATTATTATCACCATATTTATCACTTACATGCACAAGCGCATCCACACAAAGTCGATGGGACAAGTGAGAAACATGTATCACATTCTGAGTTTCATATTATAGTTATGTGTGATATACTTATCCTTCCTCCTAAATTTTATGTTTCTTGTAGTGTACTAAGATGATGTAGCCTTAAACAGTTTGCTATGATAGCCCAGAAAAGTGAGGACTAAGTTATTGGCATATTGATAAAAATGAGGGGAAGAAAGACTCCCAAAAGGGTCTAGAATTTGAACTATGGTTTAAAAGACAGTAAAGATTTCAGTAGTTCAAGATAAACAGGAAGACTGGGGCAGAAAAAATATCATGTTATTAAATGTAGGGATAGAATCTAGTTTGACTAGAAATAGAAAGTTTTTGTAAGGGGAAGGGATGGAACATCAAATTGGCATATACCAAAAAGTACTGAATTTTACCGTAGGTGTACATTTCATTTAGTAGTGAATAAAAGGTTATTGGTTACCCTGGTGCTCTAACATCATGGTCCTGGTAGCCATGTGCAGGTAAGATGAAAGGTAGGATGTTATGGGTGAGTAGATTAGCAAGAAAAAATGCAGTCCGTATACATGTGAGGTGATAATCTGGTCTTGAAATAATGGTTATACGAGCTAGCAAATAAAACAGGGAACTGAATCTAGAAGTATCGAAAGGTAAAAGAAAAAGTCTATTAATAAAGAACTTGAAAAATAGTTATTATTTGTCACTCATCTGCACCAGCCAGAGAAAAATAGTCATTATATTAATAGAGAAGTAGTTACTATCATAGGAAGGAACACTAGTCAGCTATTTAAAAAAGCAAGAAAATTCCATCTTTATTTACTGACATGTAAAGAAATTCATCATTTACTATTGAGAGAAGAAAAGCAAGATGCAAAATAATATGTATCATATGATATCATTAATATAAAAACAATTATATAAACACTTTAATAAAGATTGCTTGTATGAATAGAGAGTGCTATTTTTAATTTCACAATGTACTACTTGAATTTTTTATGACAAACATTTTAAACATAACATTTAAATGTAAAATAATAATGAGGTTTATAAATTAAACTATCAATAAGATCATAAATATCCAACTCCCCTAGAAAGGTAAGTAATTTACACATAGCAAGATCTCAAAAATTACTGTTTAAAGGAACGAGTAACTTAAAATAGGAGACAAAATACCCATATAATCCTTTTTTTTTTTTTTTTTGAGATGGAGTTTTGCTCTTGTTGCCCAGGCTGGAGTGCAAAGGCACGATCTCAGCTCACTGCAACCTCTGCCTCCTGGGTTCAAGCAATTCTCCTGCCTCGGCCTCCTGAGTGGCTGGAATTACAGGTGCCCACCACCATGCACAGCTCATTTTTTGTATTTTTAGTGGAGATAGAGTTTCACCATGTTGGCCAGGCTAGTCTCAAACTCCTGACCTCAGGTGATCTGCGCCTCGGCGTCCCAAAGTGCTGGGATTACAGGCCTGAGCCACCAGTTCCAGCCCATAATTCTTAAATAATGAAGAACAATTATAAATTATGCTGGATCACATGAACTGAGAATTGATCTTCTAACTATAATTTCTTGTAAATTATCAAAACAGATTTTAGCTGTTTACAGTGTTTACACCTGTAAAATAAGAATTGCTGTTTCACTCTATTTTGAAGAGAAATATGCTAGGAAAATATGTTATTTCTCCAAAGATTACATGGTATATAGGGTTTATCTACCCTAAAGTTGCCATCTATCAATGTTTACAGTATAACATTTGAGACCTGGTGTTATATTATTCAGTGTTATATATCATGATGTGATTTAAGTCATAGAAAACAGGAGTTACTCTAAAGTACTTCTTTGAATCACAGTAGTCAGGCATGCTCTGCTTCAGTCAACCAAGTCCCTCATGGGTACTAATGCAGAAATTCCGCAACCCAGGTGATTTTTGTTTTTCACACATCCACATTATAACATCAGTAGCTCTAGAGTTATAATTCTTCCAGTAGATTTTACTTTATTGAATACCAATCTCTCTGGAGTTACAACTATAATAATAAATTACACAATAATTATAGATGCAATTCTTATGGTTTCTATTTTCTTACAGATCTGTGAGTATGAGAACATATATGTCCTACCCCCACATAAATTAAGTTCTACAAATATACTCCTGGCATCAAGGCCGTAGTAACATACATCATGCATGTTGCCAAGAGCACCTCAAATCTATTCTTTAAAATTAATCTTCTGACCACTGTTTATCACATTTACTAAATATCAGTCAGCTTTTGCCAAGATGCAGAATGTTAGCTGTTACTAAACCTTATCAGTCAACCTCCTTAAAATATCTGGAGGGCAATTCTACTGTACTGAAAAGCAAATTTAAAAGTCTTACAGAGAACACCAGACAATCCATCAAAAAAAGGTAAAAAACAAAAACAAAAAAACATTTTTCCCCTCAAGAAAGAAAGAAAAAAAAAATCTATGAAAAGAAACCAGAAGCAGCCAGCTAAATTGAATGCAGTGTTTTCCCCATCTGTCCCCTACAGGAAAAAGTGAAATGGCCTCTTGCAGAAAACCTCTTTTTTTTTTTTCAAATTCCACCTACTGTAATATACACATAAGCAATTGGGAGTTACTGCAGTCCATTCGTTTGCCAATAAGCACAGAATAAGTCAGAAGAAAGAACCCTGTATTCATGATGTTTACAGTTAAGTAGGACAAGAAAGCCATATACACACATAATTAAAACACAGAGCTATCTCTGAGAGCTTCCTTAAAAATTCCAAGGAAAAAATAACCACTTTCTTCTGCAGCGACCTGGAAAGAAAAGTCTCTTCATTCTCATCATCATCATAATCATTGTCATCAGTTCTGCCATGAAATCTGTGACTCAAGGAAAATGTCCTTTCTTGAAGTTTTAAGTTAACTACCTATACGTGATGGATATGAGACAATTGGACCAGAATGATAATTTAAAATTTATTTTCAGAGTTAGGATTCTGTATACAACCAAATGTGATTAAGATTTTACATGTTAAAAGTAAATTTCCTTCACAGGTGAATCAATTTTTTAAAGAAACATTTGAACTCTGCACCCTTCCATCCCCACCAGTAAGTTTAGCAGCACTAAAGTGGAAAGATGTCACCCATAGTATCATCTCCCCAAAATAATAATGGCTAAGATTCTAGAAAACCTCTTTCCAGCTTTTTTTCCTCTCTGTATCAATTTTTAGATAGTAATAAATATGTTATAGATATAATTTAGTTACCTTATTTCCCTTGATGTCATAGTGTAAATAATTAGTGTGTTTTCACAATCCCTATAGCAACAGAAGTTACTGTCAGCATATTAATAATTACATGTAAATTGAGGTATTATTTTTATATAAATGATCTCTACCTACAGTTATTTAGGTCATTTCCAATTAATCATTGAAATGCTTCAATGACCATGTTAATACATAGGTGCTGCTGGATATATATCACACCCAAAAGTAATGAAAATATTTTAAGAATTCCCAAAGCACATTTGCATGTTATTTCATTGAATATTTTAAGTAACTCTGAGTGGTCAGGAAGACATCTATTTATGAAAAATACGAAATCAAGGTCACAGAGATAGTCAATGGCAGAGCCTGGCACTCAAACCTGGGCTTTCTGATTCAAGTCACACTAACGATGTTGCCTTTCTGTTCTCCATGAAGAGCTTCATTTCCTTTGCTGGACTCTCATAAACCAGTGACACTAAAATCTGTAACTTCAGTTCTTTCCAGAGCTCCATATCCAAATTCTAACAGTCCAGATTATATTTTCCTATAGATATTCCTATATAATTTCAAATGTAATATTTCTGGAACTGGACTATCTTAATCTATTTCTCCTTAGGTTTCCTCTGGGTTATAATTCCTCTTTGTTATAATTCCTAGGCCCAAACAGATTTTCTTTTTACCTTTCTTGTAATAAATCAGAATGTAAGCCCAGCAGATTACTTCCCTGAATATTTTCTTAGAAATCTTCTCTATTCTCATTGCCAAGTGTTCAGGGCATCACTATCTTCTCCAGCTTGATTGAAACAACCTCCAACTCCAACTTATTACCCTGGCTTTTTTCTTCTTCTTCTATAATCCACTCTTCATGCTATATCCAACATTATACTTTTAAAAGCATTTTAACATCCTTATTTGGAGACTAAGGCTATTCAATAACTTGCTATCACACTCCTAATCATAACATGTATGTACAGCTCCTCCCAAACTACCCCCAATCTAATATCCTAACTTTATCTTGTTTTTTTCCCTTTCTGGCTTCATCATTCACATTAAATTACCCACTGAGACCCCCAAACATTATGAATGTTCAAGCCTTAAGGTTTTTCTGTCCACAGACTTTTTACTAACTTTGTCTTTTTTTCCCAATGCCCTACTCTTCTTTCAATATCAGCTATTACTTCCTCATAAAATTTTGATTTTTCTCATGCAGAATTATTATGTTTCCTTTATGTGTTACACAGTTTATACATTTGTATATTAAACAACAAATTAGGATATTTTAAAACCATTTGTTTACTACTATTTTGTATTCTTTTTTCCTCAATAACAGGGCATATGTATGACCATAGCAGGTGGAATGTTGTGCGGCACATGGAATTTAATTACTTTATCTAGTGCTCTTTCTATCACACCACATTGTCTGTAATACAAAGTTTACTTCAACCATCCAGAAAACAATCCGTCATAAAGTGAATCCCCTGGCTATGGCAGAAATTTTGATACCTACAGTGATACATTATGCAAACACATCATTAGAGAGAGCTAAGCACGGCTCAGAATTCAAAGAGTTATAGGTGAAATCGTGTCAATAAGTGACCCAAATCTTATTCTTAACCCTCTTCGTTTTTGAAGGATAGAAGCCCAAAGTCAGCCTTGATAATTAAAGTATTTCCAATATGAGCAAAAGACATAATTTGGGTGATAAGAAAAATGATGACAGACTCCCATGCCTGTTAAATCATCAACTCAGCAGCTTTATGTATGTTTTTATAATTTTTATTTAATCATCTCTCTCTAAAGACAGTGTCAAACCTAATGTGTGATGTTGTTCCTTTTATATGAAGTTTGTTTTATACTCTTTAATACATATAAGTAAATTTCTATAAGCAGCATCTAATTTAAAATAAAAAGATTTAAAGGGATTTGTAAATCATTTAATTCTTTAAAAAAATCTATTTGATCTCTAATTTCCAGATTTCGATATCTCTATTTACAGACGAAAGAAGAAAATGAGGAAGTGTGGATTAATTTTACATTGACATAGAGTTTCTTAATTGAATTCAAGATAAAATCCTGCATACAGCTTACTTACTAAATTCATCTATAGCAGTAGTGATGGGGGCCCAGGAGAGCAAAACTATTTGGGATAGTTTTTTGGTTTTTTTATCCATCCAAAGAGTAAGAGAATTTTGGAAGTTACTTATTCAGTATTCTCTTGAGGAAACAATTGATATATCAATGAGGATCATACATTCTTACATATTTGTACTTGAAGACCATGATTTTTTTAAACTATATAAAAAAATTGCTGAATGTTCAACTGCAATCTTTGCCTTAAGAGCTAGTCAAGCATAAACAAATCATAAAAATATATGCAAATCAAAGTTCATTCAAGAAAATTTTCATTTTCTGAAGTTAAAATGTGAATAAAAATGCAACCTAGTTTCTGGTAAATTAGCAAGAGTCATTAAAATTTCTGTTGACCACTTAAATCTGAACTAACAAAATTAACAACTAGGTAGAAATATGGTTAATAAATTATCAGATTTGGTTCCATACATTGACCCAATGTTTTCCCTCCCATGAAAATAATTTAACAGAAACAAACGTATATATTAACTATAGTGTTTATTGTGATGGAACATACAAAAGAAATACTTTAGAATTAGCTTAAATTTCAGTATATTGAGGTTCGTCAACATTAAAATTGTTATATGGAAGATTCTTTTGCCATAACATGAGGACATGCTATGGCATTGCTACAATGAAAATACATTTACACACAAGAATGAAAGTAAAATGCTGTTTTAAAATGATTGTTTTAAGGGTTATTTAAAACTTTCTAAATTTTGTTATATATTTACTTTAGTATATTTTCAAGAAACAAGATGACTTATTTGCTTGTTTGATGCAAATATATGATATATCTGCAGAAACTTCCTTGTTAATGTCCAAACACCTTTCTTAGTAAAGCTCACAATTATCTGAAAATCCATGTAAAAATTTCAGTGTCATAAGGTATCAGAGCTGAGAGGAGTCTTAAAAAAATACAAGTGTCACCACTTTTTAAAATACGTAAATACATTTTTTCTTTTCAAATAATATATAGAAAAGTATCAAAGATAGTACACAGTTTCTAAAAATGTTGTACCCACTCTCCTCTATTAATGTCTTTCATTACTACAATACATTTGTCCCAAATAATAAGCCAATATCGATCCATTGTTATTAACTCAAACTATTTGTTTTTTATTAGTTTTCCCCTAATACCTTTTTGTGTTGTAAGGTCTCATCTGGGATACATTTAATTGTCTCCATAGGGTCCTCTGGGCTGTGACAGTTTCTCTGTGTTATCTCGAATTTCTTTGAGTTTCCTCAAAATAACTAAAGAATTTTGAATTCTTTATCTGAAATGTCAGATATCTCTGTTTCTCCAATATTGAGCCCTAGTTCCTTGAGTGAGATCCAGTGCTGTGGTGGCTTCATGTCTGACCCAGTGCATTTTTTGAGGTCATGCATTCCTGGAGAGTTTTGATGCTTAAGGATGTTCATCTGTATCTTGGCATTGAATAATTAGGTTTTATTGTAGTGTTCACCATGTAGGCTTGTTTGTACTCATCCTTCTTGAAAAGGCTTTTCAGGTAATTGAAAGGACTCGGGTATTGTAATCTAAGCCTGCATTAGGGGAGCTTCTGCAAGCCTAGTAAAGCTGTGGTTCTTACAGACTCCCTAGAGGTATCGCCTTGATGGTCTTGGGTAAGATCTCAAAACTTATCTGGATTACCAGGCAGAAACTCTGTTCTCTTCCCTTATTTTCTCCCAAACAAATGAAATCTCTCTCTCTCTGTTCTGAGCCGCCTTGAGCTGGGGGTGGGGTGACATAAGCACCCCTGTGACCACCACCATTGGGATTGCACTGGGTCAGACCTGAAGCCAGCACAACACTGGGTCTCACCCAAGGCCTGATGTGACAACCACCTGGTTGCTGCCTATGTCCCCTCAAGGCCCTGGTGCTCTACAATCAGCAGGTGGCCAAGCCAGCCAGGCTTGTGTCCTTTCCTTCAGGGTAGTGAGTTCCCCCAGGTCTCAGGCAGGTTCAGAGGTGCTGTCCAGGAACAAGGAACTAAAGTAAAAAACCTTAGACATTTACCTGGTGTTCTATTGTACTGCAGCTGAGCTGGTACTCAAACCACAAGATACAGTTCTTCCCACTCTTTTCTCCCCTTTCCATAAGCAGAGGAGCCTTACCCTATGGTCACCACCATCACAGACTCACAGGAAGTACTGCCAGGCTATTGTCGATTTTCCCTTAAGATCCAAAGGCTCTTTCATCAAGTTGTCATGAAGACTGTCTGGGCTGAAACTCACTTTTCATGGCAGTGGGCACCCCTCTGGCCCAGGGATGGGCCATCCAAGAGGCAAGCCTAGAATTGGAGACCTCAAGAGGCTGCTTGGTGTTCTATCCCTGGTGGCCCAGTTGGTATCTAAAGTACAAGACAAAGTCCCCTTTAGTTTCCTTCTGCTTTTCTCTAGAAAATGGAGTTTATCCCCATAGCCATTACAGCTAGGAATATGATGAGTCTCACCTGAAGCCACCTAGTCTCAGAGTCTCACCAAGGCCCACAGTACACAACCTGGTTATCACTGCTTTTTATTTAGGCCACAAGGGATCTTTAGTCAGCATGTGATAGATCCTTCCTGGACTGTGTCCTTCCCTTCAAGGTAGTGGGTTTCCTTTTGGCCCAGGGTTTGTCTAAAAATATATTAGAGCTAGTGCCTGAAATAGTGCCTCAAGAGTCTTACTGGTGCCCTATTGTACTGTGGCTGAGCTGGTATCCAAGATGCAAGACAAAATTTTATTTACTCTTCCCTCTCCTCTTCTCAAGTAGAAAGATGAGGTCTTCTCTAGAGCCATAAGCTGTGCAGTCTGGGGTTGGGGGAGGGTGGTGCAAGCACCCCCTTAGCTGTCCCGGCTGGTGTCTCAGTAGATCGTGTGACCCTGCAGTCCACTGACTCTGAGCCCAGTTCAGCACTAGGAATCACCTAGGAGTTGCAGTCCTTTTGGCCTAGACTGCCTTTCAAGTTTATTTAGGGACCCACAGTGCTTTAGCCCACAGTGGAAAGGCTTATCAGAACTCAAGTTCTGACTGCTGAGTTGGGCAATTCCCTTCTGGCTAGGCCTGCAATAAATACTCCCTCCATGGGTGGATATCAGCTGAGTTCAGACCAGTTTTGCTTTCTGCTGTGACAGAGCAACACTGAATTCAATGCAATGTCTCACAATTGCTGCACTCTCCCTCTTCCAAGCAAATAGATTCTCTCTCTGCACTACGCAGCAGCTGCCTGAGGATGGGGAGGAGTGGCATTAGCAATTCGAGACTGTCTTTTTTACCTCTTCAATGCCTCTTGCAGCGATATGAAATTAAAACCAGGTACTGTGAGTGCTCACTTAATTTTTGTTTCTTAAAAAGGTTTTTTTGTATGCAGATTGTTGTTAAATTGGTGTCCTTATGATGGGGATGATTGGTGGAGGCTTCTATTCAGCTATCTTGCTCTGCCCTTCTGGTCAGACCTGATTTTTAAAATTTAATAAAACTTTTTTGTGCCCTAATATATGGCCTATTGTGGAGAACGTTCTATGTGTTGATGATAAGAGTTTGTATTCTGAAGCCATTGGATGAAATATGACATCAATGTCTGTTAGGTTACTTCAGTCTAAAATGCAGTTTAAATTCTGTTTCTTTGTTGATTGCATTGTCTAGATGATCTGTCCAATCCTGAAAGTGGGATGTTAAAGTCCCCAACTATTATTGTATTATAGTCTATCTCTCCCTTTACCTCCAATAGTATTTTCTGTATGTTTTCAATTTTTCAAGAATTGGATGTATATATATTTAGAACTAAAACTTGCTGAATTTATCCCTTTATTGTTGTATAATGACCTTCTTTGTCCCTTTTTATATTTTCTTGACTTAAAGTCTATTTTATGTGACATAATAATAATAATAATTATAATTATAGCTATTCCTGCTTATTTTTTGTTTCTGTGTACATGGTATATCTTTTCATTCCTTCACTTTCAGTTTTTATCTTTCTTTACAGATGAGTGTGTTTTCTGTGGGTCTTATTTTTCCTCCCTTTCAGCAAGTCCATGTCTTCCAATTTAGGAATTTAAATTACTTAAATTCAAGATTGTTATTTTTATGTGTGAACTGACTTCTGTCATTTTAAAAATTGTTTTCTATTTGCTCTGCCTATTATTTGTTTCTTCCCCTCATATTGTTTATCTTGCAGTTTGCTGGTTTTCTGTAGTGATAAAGTTTGATTCCTTTCTATTTTTCATTTGTGTAACTACTCTACCAGTAATTTTTATTCTTTTGTCAATTTTCATGATAGTTTTTTTTTTTTTTTTTCCTTTTCCAGATGTAGATCTTCCTTAAGTATTTATTCTAAGGCCAGTCTAGTGGTAATAAATTCTCTCAGGTTGTACTTATCTGGGAAAGACTTAATTTTTTCTTCATTTCTGAAGGAGATAGCTGTGCTGGGTGTAGTAGTTTGTTGTTGTTGTTGTTGTTGTTGTTTTGTTTCTTTATTTTTGAGACAGAGTCACACTCTATCACCCAGCGTAGAATGCAGTGGCATAATCAGTAACCTCTACCTCCCTGGTTCAAGCAATTCTCCTGCCTCAGCCTCCTGAGTAGCTAAGATTACAGGCATACACCACCATACCCTGATAATTTTGGTACTTTTAATAGAGATGGGGTTTCGCCATGTTGGCCAGGCTGGTCTTGAATTCCTGGCCTCAAGTAATCCACCTGCCTTGCCCTCCCAAAGTGTGGGGATTACAGGCATGAGCCACTGTGCCCGGCCAGTACAGTAGTCTTGAATGGCAGATTTTTTTTCTCTCAGACCTTTAAATATATTATCCTATTGTTTTCTTGCCTGTAAGGTTTCTACTGAGAAGTCCACTATTAGCCTAATGAGGATTCCTTAACATATGACTTGATATTTTTTTCTTGATGTTTTTAGAATTATCATGGTCTTTGAATTTTGACAGTTTTAACTATCATGTGGCTTGGAGAGTACCTTGTTAGGTTGAATATATTTGGGACTATTGAAACTTTTTGGATCTGGATACTCACATATGTCCTCAGACATGGGAAGCTTTCCCTTATTATTTAATTAAATAGGTTTTCTATGCCTTTCCCTGCCTCTTTTATATTTATGTAATTTTCATGATGTGAAAATTTATTTGATTTATGGTGTACCATAAGTCTTGTAGGCTTTCTTTATTTTTCTCTATTTTTTATTTAGCTTTTGTCACCATCACAAACTTCTGCAGCCTTGGCCACTGAGGCAATCACAGGCATCACTGATGAGGATGATAGCTGAAGAAACTGCAACTGCATAAAGATCACATCACTGAATCTACCCAGAACTACAGCCAATGCATGATACCCACTTGACAACCTAGGACCTCTCTACAAGAAAAAGTCTTTCTCTATGAAAGATAATTCATAAAATTTTAAAAAGTAACTCTTCTACTAGATGCACAGATATTAATGTAGGAACCCAAAAACCATAAAAAGCAAGGAAATATGACACCTTCAGAGGATTATGTCTCTAATCAAAGACCCTGAAGTGAAAGATATTTATAAAATGCCTGAAAAGAAATTCAAAATAATGCTCTTAAGGAAACTCAGTGAAATACAAGATAATACAGGTAGACAATTCAATAAAATATGGAAGACAATTCTTGATCTGATTGTGAAATTCAATAAAGAGAAAGATACCATAAAACAGGACTAAACAGAAATCTTGGAAATAAATAATTCAATGAACGAAATAAAAAATACAGTCAACAAATTTGATAATAAGGTAGATCAGGCAGAAGAATTTCTAAACTTTAGTGGAAGTCTTTTGGCACAATCTGCAGATGCCCAGGGGTGATGTGTATGGCCAGCTGTTTGGTGCCTTCCCTATTGTACAGATTCACCTGTTTCTTGAGTGGATGGTTTGCTGTGTGAGTTCAGATACTAGGTTCTCAGTCATCCCATCTGCCTAGGCTCTGGCAGCCGGGGTTAGGGTACTGCAGGTACCAGTATGAATGTAGTGGAATGATAGTGGGGCCTCAAGGACAAGCACTGTCAGCCACTAGTGTCCCCTAGGGCAAGATGCACTCCAGTGGTGGGTTCATTGTCAAGATACCACCAAACCCTCAAGATACCACCAAGACTCGCAGTTATGTATTGCTGGGGAGGCCTCAGAAAACTTAAAATCATGGTGGAAAAGGAAGCAAACATTCTTCACATGGCAACAGGAGAGAGAAGTGCAGAGTGAAGGGGAAACAGCGCCTTATAAAACCATCAGATCTCATGAGAATTCACTCACTATCATGAGAACAGCATGAGGGGAAACCGTCCCCATTATTCAATTACCTCCCACCAGGTCCCTCTCATGACACATGGGGATTATGAGAACTACAATTCAAGATGAGATTTAAGTGGGGACACAGCCAAACCGTATCATCCCACCTCTGACCCCTCCCAAATCTTATGTTCTCACATTTCAAAACACAATCATGCCTTTCCAACAGTCCCCCAAATCCTTAATTCATTCTAGCACTAACCCAAAAGTTCAAATCTAAAATTTCATCTGAGATAAGGCAAGTCCCTTCCACTGATGAGCCTGTAAAATCAAAAGTAAGTTAATTGCTCCTAGATAAAATGGAGGTACAGGCATTGGGTAAATACACCCATTCTAAATGGGAGAAACTGGCTAAAACAAAGGGGCTACAGGCCCCATGCAAGTCCATAATCCAATAGGGCAGTCATTAAATCTTAAAGTTCCAAAATGATCTCCTTGACTCCATAAATCACATCCAGGTCATGCCGATACAAGAGGTGGGCTCCCATGGGCTTAGGTAACTCAGACCCTGTGGCTTTGCAGGGTATAGCCCTACTCCTGGATGCTTTCATAGGCTGGCATTGAGTGTCTGTGGCTTTTCCAGGGACATAGTTCAAGCTGTCATGGATCTACCATTCTGGGGTCTGGAGGATGGTCACCCTCTTCTCATAGCTCCACTAGGCAGTGCCAAGGGGGTACTCTGTGTGGGTGCTCCAACCCCCATTTCCCTTCCTCACTGCCCTAGCAGAGGTTATTCATAAGGTCTCTGCTCCTGCAGCAAATTTCTGCCTGGACATCCAGGCATTTCCATATGGCCTCAAATCTAGGTGAAGGTTCCCAAACCTCAATTCTTGACTTCTGTGTACCCACAGCCAACACCACGTGTAAGCTACAAAGGCTTGAGGCCTTGCACCCTCTGAAGCAATGGCTTGAGCTGTACCTTGACCTCTTTTAGCCACAGCTGGGATTCAGGGAACCAAATCCCAAGGCTGTACAGAGCAGCAGGGGGGAGCATGCCCCAAGCCATGGAACTATTTTTCCCTCCTAGACTTCCAGGCTGTGATGGGAGGGGCTTCTGTGAAGGTGTCCGACATGCCCTGGAGACATTTTCCCCATTGTCTTGGTGATTAGCATTCAACTCTTCATTACTTATGCAAGTTTCTACAGCTGGCTTGAATTTCTCCCCAGGAAATGTTTTTTTTTCATCATCAGGCTGCAAATTTTCCAAACTTTTATGCTTTGCTTCCTCTTGAATCCTTTAATGCTTAGAAATTTCTTCTGCCAGATACCCTAAATCATCTCTCAAGTTCAAAGTTCTACAGATCCCTAGGGCAGGGGCAAAATGCCACCGGTCTCTTTGCATAGCAAGAGTGACCTTTACTCCATTTCCCAGTGAGTTCCCCATCTCCACTGAGACGACCTCAGCCTGGACTTCATTGTCCACATCACTATCAGCATTTTGGTCAAAGACATTCAACAAATCTCTAGGAAGTTCCAAACTTTCCCATATTTTCCTGTCTTCTTCTGAGCCCTCCAAACTGTTCCAGCTTCTGCCTATTACCCAGTTCCAAAGTTGCTTCCACATTTTCAGGTATCTTTATAGCAGCGCCCCACTACCCTAGTAATAATTTGCTGTATTAGTCCATTTTCACGTTGCTATAAAGAACTGCCTGAGACTGGTCAATTTATAAAGGAAAGATGTTTAATTGACTCACAGTTGTACATTGATGGAGAGGCCTCAGGAAACTTACAATCATGGCAGAAGGGGAAGCAAACATGTCCTTCTTCACAGGAGAAAGAAGTGCAGAGCAGTGGGGGGGATGTTGGGGGGTGGAAATCCCTTTTAAAACCATCAGATCTCAAGAGAACTTATTCACTTTCATGAGAACAACATGGAGGGAAACCACCCCCATGATTCAATTACTTCCCACCCGGTCTTGCCCATAAACATAGGGGTTATGGGAACTACAGTTGAAGATGAGAAATGGGTGGGGACACAGCCAAAGGATATCAAGTACTCAATGTGTGGTCTTACTCTGAGACAATGTGGCTGTGCAAATGCCTGCCTACTTTCTAAACTGGACTTGGGGCCTGTGTAAACTGGGGGATTTTCACTCACATCCATGTGAAGAGACCACCAAACAGGATTTGTGTGAGCAATAAAGCTTTTTAATCACCTGGGTGCAGGCGGGCTGAGTCCGAAAAGAGAGTCAGTGAAGGGAGATAAGGGTAGGGCTGTTTTATAAGATTTGGGTAGGTAAAGCAAAATTACAGTCAAAGGGGGGTTGTTCTCTGGTGGGCAGGAGTGGGGTCACAAGGTGCTCAGTAGGGGAGCTTTTGAGCCAGGATGAGCCAGGAGAAGGAATTTCACAAGATAATGTCATCACTTAAGGCAAGGACCGGCCATTTTTACTTCTTTTGTGGTGGAATGTCATCAGTTAAGGCAAGGAACAGGCCATTTTCACTTCTTTTGTGATTCTTCAGTTACTTCAGGCCATCTGGGCATATATATGCAGGTCACAGGGGATGCGATGGCTTAGCTTGGGCTCAGAGGCCTGACATTCCTGCCTTCTTATATTAATAAGAAAAACAACATAAAATAGTATTGAAGTGTTGGGGTAGCGAAAAAAAATTTTTTTTTTGGGGGGGGGTGGCATGGAAAGATAATGGCCGATGTTTCTCAGGGCCGCTTCGAGCGGGATTAGGGGCGGTGTGGGAACCTAGAGTGGGAGAGATTAAGTTGAAGGAAGATTTTGTGGTAAGGGTTGATGTTGTGGGGTTGTTAGAAGAAACATTTCTCGTATAGAATGATTGATAATGGCCGGGGTACGGTTTTGGATGAATTGAGAAACTAAACGCAAGATACAAGGTCCAAATAAAAGAAGGAGAAAAATAGGTATTAAAGGACTAAGAATTGGGAGGACCCAGGACATCCAATTAGAGAGTGCCCAAGCGGGTTCAATGTAATTACTTGCTTGGTTGGCAAGTTTTTGGGCTCTATCCTTGAGTTTTTTTATGTTGTTATACACCAGGCCAGATTGATTTAGGTAAAAACAACACTCTTCATTTAAGAATACACAGAGTCCTCCTTTTTCAGCAGTGAGTAAGTCAGGGCCTCAGCGGTTTTGGGGGACAACTGCAGCTAAAGAGTCAACTTGGGCCTGGAGGACTGATAAAGTTTGTCATATGTCTGTGATGCTAGCAGAGAAGTCATTAGAGAGGCTATGGAAGGTCATAACAGGTTGAAATGCCTGCTATTCCAGTACTGAGAACAATAGTAGAGGCAGAAAGTCCTAAACTGACAAGCAAGGGAATTAGTGGAAAAACTCTTCTTTGTCGTGTCGGTGTCATGAGGAGAACAGGGAGCTCTTTAGTCCCATTTGCAAATTGAATTTTGGGAGTAAGGAAAACTAGTGTGCATGTGCCTGTCCAATTAACAGGTAGACACATGTAGGTAGAGGATCCACAGAGGAAGAAGAGGCCTTGTGCGAGGCAAAACTGGAGATGCAAAGTAAAAAGATGAGAGGGAGTGCTGAAAGGGGTGTCTTTTACCCAGACTTCTAGGGATCCAGTTAGGGCGGCAGCCATCAGAGGTTGTAATGGGGACAGATGGGGTAACTGCGTAGAGGAGGAGGTTCGATTTTCATGGTGTATGAGAAAACGTTGAGTATCTATGAGCAACCTTTCACTGTTATTTTCGGGGCTGGGTATAAGTAAACAAGAAGAGGGTCTGGGAGGAGAGTCTGATGAGCAAGGGGAAGGTAGCCAAGGATGGAGTGAAATACAGGGTAAGTGTCTTCTTAAGCAATAATTACTGCTAATGTTTTTAAGTTTGCCAGTATTGATAGACGGCTTGTCTGTAATATGGAGCTGGAAGGCTCCAATTGTTTCAGTGATGTGTGTAGTTGGGCTTTGGAGATGAAGAGTAAAGGAACATCGAGAAGGTGAAAGGTTACCTAGGGGAATTCCAGTGGGTCTTTGCCGAGAGATACATACAGGAGCAGCCATAGGAATAGTAGTTTGTGTTGTGAGAGGTCCAAATATGAGGAGAGTAGGGTTGATATAAGGAGAAAGGCTTTTTAAGTAAGTGCGGAGGAGGGCGGCAGCTTGCTGATGTGAAATGTCTGGAGAGGTCTTGCTGGACCTGTCTAGAAAGTAAATGAGTTCTTCAGGAGGGTAAAATGAGGGCTGTTAAAGGAAGTTTGGAGATGTAGGGAGACAGGAGATGTTGCCTAGTCTGCATGTAAGGTGGGGACAGCTGTGTAGGCACTGGAAGAAAGGGAAATGCAAAGCCAGCAGTTTGCTAAGAAGGGATTAGAAACGGCTAGGAGAGATTGAGTAAAGTTGACAGTGTGGTGGAGATAGCTGGGGAGAGGTAGAGGGTGGCATAAGAATGGGAATGAGAATAACAGTGAGTATAAAAGTAAACAAAAGAACTTCATCAGGGTGAAAGTATTGGAGGGTCCCCTGCCAGCAAAGATCATCTATCCACTCTAAGAGGGAGTTAAGAGTTGCCAGTCCTGGGCGAGGGCAAATCCTCCAGCTTGATGTGTAGGGAAGGGAGGGGGCCTGAATAATCCCTGAGGAGTGGTAGAATAGCAGATGGAACACTGAGAAGCTATTTCCTTGAGGATAGATTTCCATGATGGAAAGGAAATGAGAGGTTCTAAGAGGCGGGCTGGTGGCTTGTACTATAGCATAGCCTGCCTTTGCTGGTGTGTGGCAATTAGGCCTGGTGGAACTAGTATCAATAAACCAAGTGTGCTCAGGGTGAGGAACAGGAAAGAAGGAAATATGGGGAAATGGGGTGAATGTCAGGTGGATCAGAGAGATACAGTCATGGGGGTCAGGTGTGGTATCCAGAATACTGTGGGAGGCCCGATTGAAGTCTGGGCCAGAAACAATGATAATTGTGGGAGACTCAACAAAGAGTGAGTACAGCTGAAGGAGCTGGGGAGCAGAAAGTATATGTGTCAGGTGTGAGGAAGAAAATAGATTTTGGAAGTTATGAGAACTGTAGAGAGTGAGTTGAGCAGTTTGTGATTTTTAGGGCCTTTAAAAGTATTAAGGCAGCGGCAGCTGCTGCAGGCAGACATGAGGGCTAGGCTAAAAGAGTAAGGTCCAGTAGTTTGGACAGAAAGGCTACAGGATGCAGTCCCGGCTCTTGTGTAAGAATTCTGACCGCACTAACCATGCCTAGGAAGGAAAGGAGTTGTTGTTTTGTAGGAGGGATTGGGGTTTGGGAGATTAGCCAGACACGATCAGCAGGGAGAGCACGTGTGTTTTTATGAGAATTATGCCGAGATAGGTAACAGATGAAGAAATTTGGGCTTGACTGAAGTAATGGGGGCTGTCTCTGAAGCCTTGCCTAGGTAATTTGCTGAACCTGGTGGGTGTCAGGGTCAGTCCAGGTGAAAGTGAACAGAGGCTGGGATGAAGGGTGCAAAGGAATAGTAAAGAAAGCATGTTTGAGATCTAGAGCAGAATAATGGTGTGCAGAGGGAGGTATTGAGGATAGGAGAGTATATGAGTTTGGCACCACAGGGTAGATAGGCAAAACAATTTGGTTCATAAGGTGCAGATCCTGAACTAATCTGTAAGCCTTGTCTGGTTTTAGGACAGGTAAAATGGGGGAATTGTAAGGGGAGTTTATAGCCTTTAAAGACCATGCTGTAGCAGGCAAGTGATAACAGACTTTAATCCCTTTAAGGCAACCTGTGGGATGGGATATTGGCATTGAGCAGGGTAAGAGTGATTAGGTTTTAATGGGATGGTAAGGGGTGCATGATCAGTCACTAAGGAGGGAGTAGAGGTGTCTTATACTTGTGGGTTAAGGTGGGGAGATACAAGGGGAGGATGTGAAGGAGGCTTTGAACTGGAGGAAAAGGCGGCAATGAGGAGTGGCTGTAGCCCAGGAATAGTCAGGGAAGCAGATAATTTAGTTAAAGCGTCTCGGCCTAATAAGGGCCTAATAAAGGCAGGTGGGGATAACTAAAAAGGAGTGCTTAAAAGACTATTGTCTAAGTTGGCACCAGAGTTGGGGAGTTTTAAGAGGTTTAGAAGCCTGGCCGTCAATACCCACAACAATTATGGAGGCAAGGGGGAAACAGGCCCTTGAAAAGAAGGTAATGTGGAGTGGGTAGCCTCCGTATTGATTAAGAAGGGGACAGACTTACATTCCACTGTGAGAGTTACCAGAAGCTCGGCGTCTGTGATGGTTTAGGGAGCTTCCGAGGCGATCTTGCAGTGTCAGCCTTCAGCCGCTAAGCCGAGAAGATCTGGGAAGGAGTCAGAGAGCCTTGGGCCAGAGTTCCAGGGGCTCTGGGAGTGGCTGCCAGGTGAGTTGAACAGTCCAATTTTCAGTGGGGGTCCTTCACAGATGGGACGCGGCTTAGGAGGAATCCCAGGCTGCGGACATTCCTTGGCCTGGTGGCCAGATTTCTGGCGCTTGTAGCAAGCTCCTGGGGGAGGAGGTTCTGGAGGAATGCCTGGCAGCTGCGGTTCAGGCGTTTGGAAGTTCTTGTGTGCTGGAGATGTGGCTGGAGTTTGTCTCACACTGGAGGTAAGGAATTGCAACTTTTTTCTATTATTGTACACCTTGAAGGCAATGTTAATTAAGTCTTGCTGTGGGGTTTGAGGGCTGGAATTTATATTTTGGAGCTTTATTTAAAGTCGGGAGCGGATTGGGTAATAAAATGTATATTGAGAATAAGACGGCCTTTTGACCTTTTAGGGTCTAGGGCTGTAAAGCGTCTCAGGGTTGCTGCCAAATGAGCCATGAACTGGGCTGGGTTTTTCATATTTGATGAAAAAGAGCCTAAACACTAACTGATTTGAAAGAGTTCTGATAGAGAAAAAGGTACATGTACCCTGACTTTGCCTTCAGCTCCAGCCACTTCTCTAAGAGGAAATTGTTGCGCAGGTGGGGAAGAGCTAGTTGTGGAACTAAACTGTAAGCCGGACCCGGTGTGAGGAGGGGAGGTGATAGAAGGATTATAGGGTGGAGGAACGGAGGCTGAGGAAGAATTGGGACTTAGCTCGGCCTGGCGACCAGCAGCCTGGGGAGGAGGGGAGAAGTCAGATGGGTCTGTAGAAAAGGAAAACTGGAAAGACTCAGTGACACTTGGGGTTGGGACTGGGGACAGGCAGGAGGGAAAGAAGGTGGATTTGGAAGGAATCGCGTTGGGAACAGGGACTAGGGAGAGAACGAAGTGTGAAAAATGCCTGGATGTAAGGCACCTCAGACCATTTGCCCATTTTTCAACAAAAATTATTTAGGTCTTGTAGGATGGAGAAATTGGAAGTGCCATTTTCTGGCCATTTAGAGCCATTGTCAAGTTTGTATTGGGGCCAAGCGGTGTTGCAGAAGAAAATAAGGTGTTTAGGTCAGGTATGAGTTGAAGAGGTTTTAAGTTCTTGAGAACACAGGCTAAGGGAGAAGAGGGAGGAATGGAGGCTGGAAGGTTGCCCATAGTGAAGGAGGTAAGCCCAGAAAAAAGAGAGAGTAGAGACATAGAGAAAAGGGGTGGGGGTGGGGGGTTCTTATCCCCCAGAAAAGCGGTACTTGCCGCTAAGGGTGAAGGACCAAGGCAGGCATCCCCACGTGGTCAGACACCTCTGAAACGTGGGTGAGTAATCAGGCAGGCGCCCCACGTGATTAAACACTAAGGGAAGACTGTCTTCCTGAGTCTGTGACCAGCGCTGGAGTTTTGGGTCCACGCATAAAACACGTCTCCTTCATCTCTACCAGAAAAGGAAAGGAACTGAAATTAAGAGAAGGGAGAAATTGAAGTGTGGCACCAAGATTGAAAGGAGAAAGTGGTTGAAGGATAGTGAGAAAGGTTGGAGAAGAGAGTAAAAAGAGGCCGCTTACTGGATTTAAAATTGGTGAGATGTTCCTTGGGCTGGTTGGTCTGAGGACCTGAGGTCGTAGGTGGATCTTTCTCACGGAGCAAAGAGCGGGAGGACGGGATTGATCTCCCAAGGGAGGTCCCCCGATCCAAGTCACGACACCATATTTCACTCGTGTCCCTGTGAAGAGACCACCAAACAGGCTTTGTGTGAGCAATAAAGCTTTTTAATCATCTGGGTGCAGGCGGGCTGAGTCCGAAAAGAGAGTCAGCGAAGGGAGATAAAGGTAGGGCCGTTTTATAAGATTTGGGTAGGTAAAGCAAAATTACAGTCAAAGGGGGGTTGTTCTCTGGTGGGCAGGTGTGGGGGTCACAAGGTGCTCAGTAGGGGAGCTTTTGAGCCAGGATGAGCCAGGAGAAGGAATTTCACAAGATAATGTCATCACTTAAGGCAAGGACTGGCCATTTTCACTTCTTTTGTGGTGGAATGTCATCAGTTAAGGCAAGGAACAGGCCATTTTCACTTCTTTTGTGATTCTTCAGTTACTTCAGGCCATCTGGGCATATATGTGCAGGTCACAGGGGATGCGATGGCTTAGCTTGGGCTCAGAGGCCCGACAGGGATCCTCTTGCAGCCACAATTGCTGGTGTTTGTGGTGGAAGTGGAAACCACTTGGAATATCCAGATTACCTTTGCCTTGTATAAAGAAGTCCCCCCCGAATCCAAGTCAGTCCCTACCAACAAGACTGTATAGCAGAGACAGAACAACACCTAGATACCCGAACTATGGTGCTATCCTGAACTGCCACAACTCACATGAATTTTGCTGCTTCCATGGTGTTCTTCAGTGTACTTCTGCAGTCACTCTACTCAAAATATAATTATTTTTTGTTTCTGTCCGCTTTTGTGAGGATAGGGCAAGCACTAGGTAACTAGATCCAGCCATCTTGCTGATTCTATGAAGGATTAGGTGTAACCACATTTTAAATGTATTATTTTCGCAAGGGCTCAAGGGCTCACACTCAGTGAATGACAGGATAAGGCTCATAACTTAGGTTCCCCAAACTTCTGCTTTCTATTCAAACATTGTGTCAATATAGCTACTTTCTGTTCATAAATGTGGTCAGAGAAATTGGTCTATAGGATAACCTCTGGAGAACTTTCACATCAATCTACTCTGCAACTTAAAATTGTGCCTTTAAATCATATGCCTTTATGCTTTAAAATCATTTTAAAACGATTTTTGGTCAATACACATGTCTGCCTCAGCTCTGTAGTTGCACAAGTATCTTATAACTAGCTCTTAAAGAGCAAATGCTCCTTTCTCTTTTTAATTTCCTTGGCCATCAAATTTCAATGTTCTTTCTTGTGCATGAATAATCCATGAATGAACTTCACATGAGGCCTGACTCCTGACCCCATAGTGCTCCATGTTCATTCTGGAAGAAATGCTTGGTGAACGTTCTCCACCATTAATTTTGTGGCCTTACCTTTTTGCTTGGAAAATATTATGTCCAACTCTTAACATTTCAAGTAAAAGAAGCAGCTCTGATTTTATCCTTGGTTAAAGTCTGGGGAGAGTGATTCGATAATACACATGTTAAAAATCTTAGCTTTATTTTTCTTTACTCAGATAGAAACTATTTCTGTTTGGTTTAAGAGAAGGTTGAACCTTGCCCTCCAAAGGAAAAATAAACATATTATTTTGTTCTCCATTTTAATTGATTTTCAAAACCTAGGCTAAATAAAATCACAGAGAAAATGAGATAAAGTGTTCTCAGCAGCTGTATTGCAATACTGAAGTGTCTCTAATAGTTGCTGTTCTCAGAGCAGCTCATCACTTTCTATCAAAGGTTAAGAAATAATTGTTTGGGAACTGAATAAATGGATAAGAAACACAAGTAAAGGAGAACGAAACAAGATTGAAATGTCTAAATCCTATGTTGTTTCTAAAGGTTAGGAAAGAATGCATATTTTCTTTCTAAATGTCAATCTGAATGGCAGTGAACCTCGAATAACATTTGAATTTAATGTAGAACTTTTGAAAATGAAGCAATTGCCTAGCTAACTGCCTGTTTGCTTTGGGGTAAACTTCACGTTTGGCTAGCTGAAATATCATTTCCATTTGGAAGTATAAACATAATAGTTAGCTGTTATCAGAAAGGAAGAGAGGATCTTTATTTGTTAGATACCAATCAATCTGGGATTGCTGAGGCTCAGCAGGCAGGATAATGAATGGAGCTACGCAGTTCATCTGACTGTTGCCTATTTAGGATTAGAATGGACCAGGCGTTGAACATTATTCTGGACATTCAGCATTTCCAAATCCCAACTCTGTTTTTTGCCTACAAAAAGAAATTCTTCTTTCAAGGTAAGTTTCAGAGAGAAGCTAAGTACAACTGACCCTTGAAAAACATGGGTTTGAATTGCAAAGGTCTACTTACACTCAGATTTTCTTCCACCTCTGCCAGCCCTGAGATAGCAAGACTAACCCCTCCATTTCCTCCTCCTCCTCAGTCTACTCAACATGGAGACCACAGGTGAAGTCCTTTACGATGATCCATTTCCACTTAATAAATAGTAAATACATTTTCTCTTCCTTGTGACTTTCTTAACATTTTTTTCTCTAGCCTACTTTATTATAAAACTACTATATATAATATATATAACATGTACAATATGTGTTAACTGGCTGTTCATGTTATTGGTAAGGCTTCCAACCAACTCTAGGCTATTAGTACTTAAATTCCTGGGGAGTCAAAAGCTATATATGGATTAAAAAATACAGAGAAGTCAGTCCCTGCTAATTTCTGTGTTGTTTAAGGGACAACTGTATATTACATAATTCTTCACAGGCCATGCATAAGTGTGAAGAGTTTGATTAGCCTAGGAAGAGGACAATTGACTGTAGGACAGTAACTGCCTGTTAATCCTAGGAATTAGTTAAATATTAACAGGGTTGTTTTTTTTTTTTTTTTTTCAAATTTTTTTTTTTTTTTTTACCTTGACCAAACTATCAACTGAAGGGATCTGGGCTTAGGATTATACAAATTGGGTCTGGAAAGTCAGTCATTAGGAACACTGGAGATCAGAGAGAGAAGTTTGAGGTCATAGCTGAAAGAACATGAAGGCAAACAGGCAGTATCCCAGTAGACAGAGGGAGGCAGAATATGGCAATTCCTTGTTCATTCTGACTGACCAATTATTATTTCTGTGTACCATCTGTCTGAGTCATCACTAACCTCTCCATAAGGCCTGTCCAATTTTTTTTGTATTCTAGTGGAATTTACTGGTTTCTATTCTTTCCTATTAGTCTTTCTGAAAATTGTAGGCACTATCAGTAATGAAATTTCTGCTGGAACAACATTTCAAAGCTCATAGGCATATGGACATTGTTTTGACTCTTAATTGTTAAACAAGTTTGGAGGAGCATCCTTCCTTCTCCTTATCAGAAAATGATGGAACAGAACTGAATTCCCAAGGTCCTTTAGGGTTCTAACTTTCTGGAAATAGAATTGTTTAATATCTTAGAAAATCCAGGACATAAAAAACATTGATTTCAAAAGTCTATACACTTCTAGATAAGCAGCCTTTCTAATTAAAATGTAGAGCCAAAATGTTTAGTGGAATTGACTTATTTTGACATGATATTAACAAGTCTTCCCTTTAATCAGTGACTTTTTTCTACCTTAAATAATACTTTTTACCAATAGTTTCCTCAATTCCCTTAGCTCTAAGAATTCCAAACAAGCTGTTCATAGTTTATGCATCTGGTATCAAATAAAAATTGGAAAGAGAGTTATAGGGAGTAAATGGCCTATAAAGTACATTGATATTAACGCTGTTCTCAAGAGCTAGTTATCTTTTAGTCTAATTGCCCTTTTAGCAAAAGAAGAGAAAGTATACAGCCAATTTCAGACCCTATAAAGAAAACTAAACCCCATAGTTAAGTGCAGAATCTTTGGCCATATCCATGTAAAGATGCTAGAAGAAATAGCCACTTCACACTCCTCTACCTACTATAGAGTAAAAGTCTCCAAATTGCCTTAGGTCAGATCTTTCTAACTACAAATCCAGAGAAAAATGGGAGTCACATAATGAGGCATTATGTTATTATGGTAAAACTTTGTAGTTAATTATCAAGACTACTTTATATATTCTTTATTAGATATGCATCAATGACGATGTATATTGCTGATAGACCTTCAAATGAATTCAGCACATTGTTCATCCTTATATCTTTTGATATTATCATTTCTCATCAATGCCCTATCTTTTCTATGTACTGATGCATTAATAACTTACCAAAGATGATTAAATTGTGTAATTTTCTTCTCTCCCTCTGAGTTCTCCTAATTCCATATCCCATTTTCTTCCCCAAGAGGAGAAAAATATTCTGGGGCTTAGTCTGATATGCTCTTTGAGACAGTTGGTTTTCCCAGTGTGCTTGTAAAAGGAAGGTGTCTGTGGATTCAGATTGGAATGGATAGCCTTGCAATTGATATTCTCCTCCTTGATATCAATTTTCTGTTGTCTAGTTTGTGCAACTCTGCTTGCCATGGTTACATTTTCAGCAAGTCTCTTGTCAAAAAGCTGTTGCTGGTCATCTCCCCATAGTGAAGAAATGGTGCAGAGTAAAGATTAGGATTAGATTGGTTCTCTAATCTCCTAATTCCCCTGTTCCCTGGTATTCAAATTGACTTAGTGATCAAGGGTTTCTTTTGAGCCAGTGCTGGCAGACAGTCATCTACTGTTGGTTCCTCTTTGATTCTTGTAAAAAGTAAAACATGCCTGGATTCTGCCTGCCCATGAATGACACTCCTAAAGTTGCTGATTAGCTATAATTCAACAAATTTTTTGGAAAGAATTTGAAAGAATTTCTAGCAGATTACCTAGCTCTTGCTTGTCCTAGAATACTACTTTATGTTTTGATTGCTTGCCCAGTTACCAAAGTTCTCATGGCCTTTATCACTTTCATGAGTGCATTAGTCCATTCTCACACTGCTGATAAAAACATACCCAAGACTGGGTAATTTATAAAGAAAAGGAGGTTTAATGGTCTTACAGTTCTACATGGCTGGGGAGGCCTCACAATCGTGCCTGAAGGCAAAAGGTACTTCTTATATGGTGGTGGCAAGAAAGAATGAGAACCAAGCAAAAAGGATTTTCCCTGATAAAACCATCAGATTTCATGAGACTTATTCACTACCATGTGAACAGTAAGGGGGAAACCACCCCAGTGGTTCTGTTATCTTTCCTGGGGTCCCTCCCACAACTGATGGGAATTATGGGAGCTACAATTCAAGATGAGATTTGGGTGAAGACACAGCCAACCATATCAATGAGCTGGGCTGTCACCACACTACTTCTTAAGCTCAGTCCCTGGTAAATGTGATCCTAATGACACAGGCATTTTACTTGGGGATATATCTCTGACTGAACAGACCCAGCAGACTGTTAAGATGAACAAGCCATTATAAAACCTTCAACTCTCAACTTGTAGTTGAGTTTTTTCCACATTTTGCTCAAATCTACCATCCAATAGTTGATACTGTTCAATCAGAAAACTAACGCAATGGGAAGAAAATTATTTCAATTAAAATACAAAACCTTATTCATCTAAAGGTTATAAAGCTGGATAGATAAATGCAGCAAGAAGACCCTACACTGACAATTTCAGGAGATCTGAGTCCTAGACCAGTACTGTCACCAATTAGGTTCACAAAAGTTCTTCAAAACAAAGAACTAAAGGCCCAAAGACTTAAGTTATTTGCCCCAAATCATATTGCAAGTGCTTTGACACTACATAAAACTAGCATGATGACCTGGAAAGAGCATACTTAAAGCTAATCAAAATCATAATCAGCCCATGTACTGTTCGGTCTACTTTCCCTAAGAGCAAAAGTAAATACTCCCCACACTTCACTTTTGACAACATGTCAAACAGCAGCTGCACCCATTTGGCTCCAGCTTCTGACAGTCAAGCTTTCTGCATTTTACAGCCTCCACTCAGTTACTTGAGTATGACACTGCCTCCTTCTTTCATCCCTCCAATCTAGGGTAGCTTCCTGATGCCCTGAATCTCTGGGCTGATTCATTGCCTTCTTTCTGTCTTTTTGCTACCTGTGTGATCCACTCCTTGTGTTGAGTAACCTGTTTTTGTTTTCCTAGTGGAACCATGCTTGATACACTAACTATGATTTTGAGAAAGTTACTCAAGATTATGGGTCAGTCTTTTTTTTCCCTCCTCACCTTACAAATGGAACTAAAATAGCTCCTGCAATGGACTGAATGTTTGTGTTCCTCCAAAATTCATTGTTGGAATCCTGATTCACAAGGTGATAGTATTAGGAGGTGGCACCTTTGAGGGATAATAAGGTCATGTGGGTGAAGTCTTCATGAATGACGTTAGGGCCCTTATAGAAAGGAACCCAGAGAGCTCTTTTGATTTATTTCTGCCATGTGAGAATGCAATGATAAGTCAGCAGTCTGAAATCTGGAAGAAGGTCCTCACCAGAACTGGACCAAGCTGGAACTTTGATCTCAGACTTCCAGCCTGCAGGACTATGAGAAATAAATATCTGTTGTTTATAAGTCACCCAGTTTATGGTATTTTTTTATAGCAGCCTGAACTAAGACAACTGCCTATGTGCCTGCTGTAAAGATGAAAGATAACTCTCTGATATATAAATGGAACTTAAAAACATATAACTGTTCTGTGGCTGGTAACTGTGTTGGTGTTAGTTTTGTTAGCTATATACACTCTTGTTAATGAGAATGAAAATTAAGACTCTTAACTCTCTAAGTAATGTGTTTTCCCCCTGCCACTCCACTGTTCAGTCCAAAGTAGCAAGACTTTTCTCTCAAACATTTTGTCATTTGAAAGCTCAGTGAAAAAATAATGCAGGAAAACAGGCTTGTTTATACTTTTCAACCAATGAAATCATCTATGGATCTTAAATATTTGAGAACATTTAGTTGTAAATAATTTGGTCTTGTAAGAAACATAACCTAATTCATGTATATGATGTTATGAAGAGGGAAAACCCCATAGATATCTGTCATGAGTGCGGAGGAATGTGGAATTCCATGGGAAGGACTAAAGAGTATCTTCTTTCTATTTCAATATTGGTTATATTTCTATATAACAGTATATTTACATATTGTATGGTGTTTTATAGATTTTTTTTTCCAGTCTGCTCTGTTTAATACTAACATGAAAAACTGTTGCTTTATTTCTCTGGAAGGATTTACTTTTTCCTGAAGGATTTTAAGTGCTTAAATGTCAGTATCTAAGGTGAGTAAAAAATCCAGGTCACATGGTGTCAAAATACCTATTGCTGAGCGTCCTAGGATAGCGTAACCCCTGCACATGACCAAGCTACTGGAAAACAACATCTTTCCAACTGTGGTCTAAAATCACCTCCATTTTCCTGGTTAATTTGAGTAGATAGGCAAACTTTTCAGCAGAATGATAATGTAAAAAGGTCAAAGAAGTTAAAGCCAAGAAAGTCTGGATTCTAAAAGCTGTTGTGCCACTTCCTGGCCATGTGACTTTGTGCAATTCGCCTAATCTCCCTGGGCATCACTTTCCTCATTTGTTAAAAGGAGCCAATAATAGCTGCTGTAAGACCCATGTAGTGGTGACAATGACATGTCCTAGGAATATAGAAAAAATAATAAACTTACCCTCTGAGAGTTAAGTAATGAGAACAACTAGTAATTACATAAATGTTAAGATCCCAGGTTCTGAAAACTGAGAGAGCCGGATTCTTATCCTGACTCCTCTATATACTTGATGTTCGTGTGGAGGTTATGCAAATTCTTCAAGACTTTGTTTCCTTTATGTAAAACAGGGATGAACAAAAAGTACCTATCTCAAGGGTTTTTGTGAAAATTAATTTTTAAACAAAAATATTTATGTTGGTACGAAAGTAATTGTGGTTTCTGCCATTACTTTTAAATGGCAAAAACCATAATTACTTTTGCACCAACCTAATATTTCATTCAAAATATTTTGTAACTATGATAAATGCCAAGTCATGTTGTAATTGTTTACAATAGAGATATTCAGGATTGACTGCCTTAAGGAGATTCCTGGCCAACAAAATGTGAGAATAAACTGAAGATAGTATCATAGCAGAAGAAGGACTGTATCAACCATAAGGCTAGTAGATCATCATGGAAGGGATAAATATAGAAGTGAGTGACAAAGTAAAGCATTGGCAATATTCAAACTGGCCAGTGAGAGAGGATGCCCTTATCAGACTGAAGTTATTAGGTGGACTGCCTGTCAAGCCCATTAGAATCCAATGCCATTAATTATACAGTGCATATTATAGCTCTATTTTTCCTTTATTTAATTTTGATCACCAAGAACACTTTTGATACTACTTTGGCTTTTATGTAACTAGCTTACAGGAGGACAGTCCTTGTTAAGCTGACATTATTGTTGATTCATGCAGAATATTGCATATCTCATGGAAAATTAGCTAACTTTCACTCTGGTTTGACATGTTGATTTGTTTTTGGTTTTGTTAGCATGAGCCAGCATCTCTGAATCTAAGCCACTCTAGTACTCCAATGAGGTTATCAGTAGAGGCAGCTAGACTTAAGAACCACCAGCATGAGTTACCTGGGCTCTGACACTTATTAACTCTTTAGCACTTGTCAGGTTAATAGAACTCTTATCATAAGTTGCTATAAAAATTAACTGCTTCAAAACACATAGCATAATACATAGTATTAATTATATGCTATTTAATAATAATAACACAATTATGATAAAAATACGTGAACTTTACAAAATAAAGATGGTCTCTGCATTGGGATGGGGGACATGACAATGTCTTTGGTGTATACCTTTCCTTTTTCTTAAGTTTTTTAAAAGAATACTCTACAGATAAGTAATAGGGTCACTGCCAAAACACAATATATGGTAAGCTTTTCATTCCCAAGCAGAAATGTCACTGTGCTGATCTTGTCCAACTTTCTCTTTAAATCAACTCATTATTAATAATGCAAATTCATTTTTTAATTTATTAAGTTAGTCAATCCATCATCAAATATGTAATTCCTTCCATTTATTACTCAGTGAATACACATTAGATGAGAAAATATCCTAGAACACTGAGAATATAAAAATAACAATATAGTTCTCTTCTACTAGTCAATCTAGTAGAGGAGAAATAGGAAGTAAAACTTCTACAAAATAGAAATATAAAAAGAAAATTATAGCACAGTAGAATATATAATGTACTGGAAGAATACATTTAGTATTGCTAAAAAATAAAAGGCAGGAATACAAAGTGACAGTCATACTGACGTTAAGGCTGAGTAGTGGGCAGCCATAGGAAGAATATTCCAGGGAATGTAAGTGGCATATAAGTAGGTAGAGAGTTCTAAAAGGGCCCTTTCTGTTTGGAGGGTAGAAAGATAGATGGTATAGTTTACATGCCATGCATGCTAGAAGTTGAACTTTTGCCCTCCCAGGTTGTGGTGTACCAAAAAATGCTTTAAAAATATCATCTATATAACTTTCTTTCTTATATTGTATGTATGTTACAGCTGGTCTTGCAGAAGCATATGAAAGAGAAGAAACAGAGGTTTTGTTTTAGTTAAATTTTTCTTTTTATTTCTCAAATTGCAGTCATATTGATTATAAGGTGATATCCTTATTATCAACACTCTTTAAATAAATCAGAACAGCCAAAATTACAATAACATAAGTATCTTAATCATAATTGTAACTTCCTACTCACTATCTTAGAATTTAATGTCATCTAAAATTTTTGTTTCAAACAAGATGGGACAAATTGCAGTGAAAGATTATAAAAATGGCCAGGAAAAAGTCCATTGAATTTGTTATGGCCAATACAGTGGTGTCAGAAAAAAATGAATTATGTATAAATTAATGAATCAGTTAACTAAAGAACAAATAACACTAGACATAATTTGTCTGGGTGATTTATATAATTTTAACATTTATACCCAAATTAGAAAATTAAGTACTTTTATGTCAATCTATTAGATGACTTTAGATAACACTGAAAAGATTCTCCAAGGATATCTTGTTACCATCATCTGCAAAAGCTACCCTATTGACTTCATTAATCTTGGCTTTCAACTCTTTACCACAAGAGATAAGTATACTATGTGAATTCAACAGGAATGATTGATTAGACTAGCACACTGGACAGGAAGACCTTGAATTGTAGTTGTGTATAGATTTCTTTTTCTCATATATAATTTCTAAACTATCGACCTACATTCTTTTGCCTGATTGACCTCTTTTGCCACACAAAGAATAAGCCACTCACATATGTGATTTGGAAAACATCAGTAATACTCCAGGGACTTGGTTGTCACAATGACTGTTCTAATAATTAACCATTGTCAGATGGAGTGGAATTCAATTAAGTAAAGTAAATCTCCAGTGAAAATGTAAGAATGTCCAGGATCTAGAAAATTTATTTCAGAGATATTATAAAACTACAACTAGGAAGAAATAAAAGGCAAATGCTGGTTGTCAATGATAATATAGCAAGAGAAATATGCGTTTGATTTGAATTGTTTGGCTCTTTATATTTCTGAACAGTTTCACCTAATGTGATTTCCAAAGGACCTAAAAGTAAAGAGAACTGAATGAAGATTTATCTGAATAGCATGTAGTATAAAAGGGAACCAATTACCAATGGGAAACTCTAACTTTTTTACTAAAATCACAGGAAAATATACTAAGCCAGAATCCTGTAATAATATCATTTGAGGTCTTTATAGCACTGAGAGGAGGAGAAAATAATAAGCTCTCCTGGACAAGATCCACTGCAGAGACAAGGCAGAAGTTGGCTTTCTGTCATGGGCATAAAGTGAGAAGAATGCTGAGAGAATTCCACTTCCAAAGCTCAGGAAAACAGAGCATACTTGAGACCCAGGCTGGACCAGGACAAAATTGCCTCTGTTTCTCATCATCACTCTGGCAAGCATCAAGCAGCAAGCAATGTTTGCTTTCAGAGATGGCCAGAATCACAGAAAGACACTACCTCTGCAGCAGAAATGTATAGTAATAGCTGAAAGGTGAGGGCAGAGCACAAATGTTGGCAAAAACTCTTCAGCATTCAGAACCCCCATAATAAACACCAGGCATCATCGAAGAAATGTGAAATTTGTGGTGAACTAAAGGTAAACAGAGCAACAAAAAAACTTGGCTGAATTACTGTTAAGATTAATTCAATCTTCCACACTCATTGACTGAGAAAAGACAAGTATATTTTTATACATAAATACTATATATCAGTTTCCTATATACTATACAGAAAGTTATAATGTCTGGAATTGAATCAAACTGAATAAAAAATTAAAAGACACAGAGAAAAAGCTATTTACAAAATGCAATAAAAAGGGCTCGATTCGAAGATGATGTATTTGAAACTATCAGACAGATACTTTAAAATAACCATGATCAATTTTTAAAGATCTAGTGGAAAAAGTACACAACATGCATGGAGACATGAATAATTTAATCATAGAAGTGGAACTAATAAAGTGAAAATTATATATATATCATATCAGATATAAAAATCTCATCAGTATATTATATATTATTATAACTCATAAAAGATACAACACTTATATGTAATTATATCAGATATAAAAATTTCCTCAGTAGACTCAACGTAGCTGAGTGGAAAACAGTGAACTGGAAGATAATCAATGGAAAGTACTTAATTTGAAACACCAGGAAAAATGAGATAGAGAAAGAGACAGGGAGATGGAAGAGAAAGAGAAGGTGAGACAGAGAGAGAGAGATAGGAGCAGAAGAAATTTTAAAAAGATAAGAGAAAGTAGAACAAATTAAATGGAAGAAAATAATAAAGGTAACAGCCAAAATCAATGCAGTGGAAAACAAACTCTAAAGTACAGAAAATAAATATAAGATTAGGAGTAAAAGAAGGGATATAACTATCAATGTTATTGACATTATAATGAGTATATAGCTCAAAAGTTGGGAAGAACTGACATGTTGGAAATATTGAGTATTTTTATTTATGAACATGAAGTATATCTCTATTTAGATCTTCTTTGATTTATTTTACAAGAGGTTTGTCATTACCCTCATATAGACCTTGCATGTATTTTCTTTGATTTATACCTAAATATTCTTTAGAGGGAAGAAGTAATGTACATGGTATGGTGTTTTAAAATTCAAATTTCAATATTTCATTGCTGGTACAAAGAAAAGCAACTAACTTCCATATATTAATCTTGTATCCTGCAAACTTCTTATGATTACTTACTAATTCTAAGAGGGTTTTTTAGTTGATTTGGAATTTTGCACATAGACAAGCATGGCATCTAAGAAAAAGTTTATTCTATTTTTCCCTCCTTATCTGTAAAACTTCCATTTCTTTTTCTTGTCTTATTGCATTAGCTAGGACTTCCAGTATAATGGTAAGTGTGGGCACCCTTGTCTAGTGCTTTGCAGGAAAAAAACTAGGTTGTTACCATTAAGTATGATTTTAGATATAGGGTTTTTTTTTTTTTGTAGATGTTCTCTATCAAGCTTAAGAAGTTCTCTTTTATTTCTAGTGTGCTGGGTGTTTTTATCATGAATGAACGTTGGATTTTGTCATTTTTTAAATGAATCTATTGATATGATAATGTAATTTGTTTTTCTTTAGCCCACTGATGTGGTAGACCATATTAATTAATATTGGAATCTTGAACCAGCTTTGCATAACTGAGATAATTCACACTTGGTCATGGTGTATACTTATTTTGCTAATACTTTTTTAAAAATCATATTTGCATCTATGTTTATAAGATATATTGGCCTATAACTTTCTTTTCCTGTAATGTCTTTGATTTCAGTATTAAGGTAATGCTGGCCTTAAAGGAAGTGACATTTCTGTTTGTTTTTCTGGAGAAGATTGTAAAGAATTGATATCATCTCTTCCTTTAATATTTGGTAGAATTCACCAGTGAACCCACTTGAACCTGAAACATTTTGTTTTGGAAGAGTAATAATTAGTGATTCAATTTATTTAATAGATATGGGGTTATTCCAATTATATATTTCTCCTTGTGTGAGCTTTGGAAGATTGTGTCTTTCAAAAATTTGGTCTATTTCATTTAGAAAATCAAATTTTTGGGCATAGAATTGCTCAGAACACTATTTTATTATCCTTATAATGTCCATGGCATCAGTAGTAATGGTCCCTCTTTAATTTCTGTTATTAATTTGTGTCTGCTCTCTCTTTTTTGTTTTATTGGCATTTTGTTCATTTGTTACCTATCTAGAGGTTTTTCAATCTTATTATTTCTTCAAAGAACTAGCCTTTGGTCTCATTGATTTTCTCTATGAATTTTCTGTCATTGATTTCATTAATTTATGATCTAATTTTTTTATTTCTCATTCACCTGACTTTGGATTTAATTTCCTCATTGTTTTCTCATTTTTCAGATTTAAGCTTAGATTACACATTTAGAGCATTCTTCTTTTCTAAATATATAAATTCAATGCTCTAAATTTCTCTCTAAGCATTGCTTTTACTGCATCTCACAAATTTTAATTTATATTTTCATTTTCATTTAGTTCAAAATACTTCCTTTTAATTTCTCTTGAGATTTTTTCTTTTAGCCATGTGTTATTTACAATTGTATTATTTATTCTCTAATTATTTTGGGACCCTACATTTATCTTTTTATTATTGATTTCTAGTTTATTGTGGTTTGAGAACATGCCTTGTATGATTTACTTAATTAATTTGTCAGTGTGTTTTATGACCTAGATAATATTCTATCTTGGCAAATTTCATAAAACCTTGAGAAGAAGATGTATTTTGCCATTGTCAAATGACATTTCTATAAATGCTAATTATGTCCAATTAATTGAGTACTGTTTAGGTAACTGTATCCTTACTGATTTTATGCCGGCTAGGTCTGTCAATTACTGTTAGATGAGTGTTGAAGACACCAACTATAATAGTGGATTTATCTATTTCTTCTTGTAGTTCTATCAGTTTCTGCCTCCTGTATTTTGATTGTTTTTATGCATATACACTTTTAAGATTGTTAGTTTTCTTGGAGAATTGACGCTTTTTTATTATGAAATTTCCTTCTTTATCCCTGATAATTTCTTTTGCTCTAAAGTCTACATTGTCTGAAATTAATGTTGGCTACCTTAGCTTTCTTTTGATTTCTGCTAAAATGATATGTCTTTATACATATCATTCCTATAATCTGTCTTTATCATTACATTTAAAGCGTATCTCCTTTAGACAACATATAATTGGGCCTTGTTTTTCTCTTTAATCAACTTTTAATATCTTAGCATTTTAATTGATGTATTTATACCATTAATATACAGTGATTATTGATACAAATGATTTAAATTTACCATGTTGATAACTGTTTTATATTAGTTGTTCACTTTTTCTACCTTTTTTCTGCTTTCTCCAGTTTTAAATTAGTATTTTTTATGGTTCTATTTTCTTTCCTTTCTTAGTCCATATAAATTATACTGGTTTTTATACCATTTTTGGAAGCTTCCCTAGAGTTTGTGCAGGTACTTTGGGTAGTGCAGGTACCTTGTAACACAGGATTTCTAATTCCTCCCTCCAGTTCCTCATTACATTTATATCATCATTTCATTTATCTGTAAGCTATAATCACTGACCACATTGTTGACGTTATTTTGTTGAACAACTTATTATCTGTTAGCTCAATTAACAGTAAGGGAAAGAAAAGATTTTGGTTTACCTTCATTTATTCTTTCTCTAATACTCTTTTTTTCTTTATGACTGTCTAAGTTTCTGACCTATATGATTTTTCTTCCCTCTGAAGAAGATATTTTTAACATGTCTTGCAATGCAGGTCTAATGGTGACAAATTCCATCAATTTTTATTTGTCTGAGAAGTTGTTTATTTCTCTTTCACTTTGAAAAGGTTGCTGGATACAGAACTTTACGTTGGTAGATTCTGTCTTCCAAAACTTTAAATATTTCACTCTATTCTCTTCTTGCTTGCATAGCTTCTGAAGAGAAGTTCAATGTAATGCTTATCCTTGTTCCTCTGTATGTAATGTGCATTTTATTCTCTAAATTCTTTCTAGATTTTCTCTTTATCTTTGATTTTCTGCAGTTTGAATATGATATGTCTGTGTGTATATATATGTATATATGCCTGTATGTGTATATATATGTATACATATACACACGTGTGTATATGTATGTGTATATATACACACACATACGTGTGTATATGTATGTGTATATATACACACACATATGTTTCTGTATATGTATGTGTATATATATATTATATATAATCTCCCCTGTATGTGTATATGTATGTATATGTGTGTATATATATATACACATATACAGGAGAGATTATATGTAATATATATATACACACAGGAGATATATATGTATGTATGTGTGTGTGTGTGTGTGTGTGTGTGTGTGTATATATATATATATATATATTTTTTTTTTTTCTCCTGATTGGTGTTCTCAGGGATTCCTGGATCTGTGGGCTGGTGTCTGTCTTACTTTTGGAAAATTGTTTGCGATTTTTACTTTAAATAGTTTTTCTGTTCCTTTTTTATTCTCTTTATGACATTTCAATTATGTGCACATTATGCTTTGTTTTAAATTGTCCTTCAATTCTTGGATATTCTGTTCCTTTTTTTTCTATTTCTCTTTTTCTTCAAGATCATTAATATTTTCCCCTCAGCTATATCCAGTTTACTCATTAATTCATAAAAGCCATTCATTTTTTCTCTCAAAGTGTTTTCTATTTCTAGCATTTTCTTTTGATTCTCTTACAGTTTCCTATCTCTGTTTACATTGCTCATCTATTATTGCATGATATCCACTTTTTCCATTAGATGTCTCAGGATATTAGTCATAGTTGTTTTGTATTCCCAGTCTCATAATGTCAAAATATCTGCTATATCTGATTCTGGTTTTGATGCCTGCTTTGTTTCCACAGACTCTGTGTGTGTGCGTGTTTACCTATTAGCATGCCTTGTAATTTTTTCTTAGATGCTGGAAGTAATGCATTGGGTTAAATAAACTATAGTAAATAGGCCTATTGTGTGTGTTTTTATATTTTTCTGGGTAGGAGTTGTGTTGTATTTACTGTTTGAGTAACTGTGATATAAGAGACTAAAGTTATTCTAGTGTTTTTGTTTTTGTCTCCTTTATTATCTTTGGTCTAAGCCTTGAGTTCTTTCAGTTGTGGTGCTTTGTTACTGTACAGGAGCCCTATTAATATGGTAGTAAGTTGTGGGAAAGAGAAGCATTCTATAATCCTATGATTAACTTTGCTGTATCCCTGGGCTGTGACCTTTATAGGTGCTTATTATTTCTTTTTCTCCCCCTTTGTGAGACAGGAAGACTAGAAGTTTCTAGAAGTGGATTTTTTTTTCCCAAGGTTTGTGGGCCTCTGGTAAAATAGTTTTCCTTGAGGACAGCCTTTTGTTAAGAAGAAGATAATGCTCTAGGTATATTTTAAATTGATTACTCTTTCCCCTCTTCTTACTGAAAGCAAGAGAGGATTTTTGTTTTATCTTTACTCAAGGAACTTGGTGGGCTTGGAAGTAAAACTCATAATAGTGTGGGAGTTCCTCAAGAAATAAAACTCCTCAAAGTGTAGGAGTTCCCCAAAGATTGCTCCTCAATCCTACCTGGAATTTAACTCTTGAGCTTGTCCACAATTGCCTCCAGAAATTTATCAATCACAGTTTTGCCCCTACCAGTACCTGCTCTAGTAGCAGGCATCTTCTACATCCAGAAAGCTCTTGTTCTCAGTATGTACCTCTCTTCAGTTTTTTCAGGGCAGCAGTTTTCCCCGTGTCCTCATTTTTCTAAAGAATATAAGCAAAGTTGATGATTTTTAATTTGTTCAGATTTTCTTCCTCTGAGAATAAGAGTGATGACTTCCAAGTTCTTTACTTATATGACTAGAAACTGGAATTCATAACATTTTGATAATAAGAAACTGTCATTAACAAGTTTAGGCCAATAAATTTTACTACCTAGATAAAGTGATGGACATGTCCCTTGAAAGATGTGAACTACCAAGGACTACTCAAGAATAAGTAGATAATATTAACTGACTTATATTCATTATATGAAGGACTTTACCTCCCATTCTGGAGAAGGAGTTAGTGGATTTTAAGTTGTGTGCAAGATAGTTTTATCATATTAGGTGGAATTATGACCTTGCTATTGTCTTTATTTTGATATTAGGTATTATTTAAGGGAATGCATATGGATGGCAAGATAACAAGAGGTGGATTTTTGATGGTTAATTTTATGTGTCCACTTGACAGAGAAATGAGATGCTGGTAAAATATTATTTCTGAATGTGTCTATGAAGGTATCTCTGGAAGAGACTAACATTTGAATTAGTAGACTGAATAAAAAAATTTGCCTTCACTATGTGGGTGGACAGCTCCAATTTGCTGAGGGCATGAATAAAAAGGTGGAGGAATGGCAAATTTTCTCTGTCTGCTTAAGCAGGGACCTCTACCTCCTCCTGCTCTCAGACATTAACACTCCCAGTTCTTTGGCTTTTGGACTCAGATCAGGACTTATACCATCAGAGCCCTGATTCTCAGACTTCTGTGTCTGGGATAAGTTATGCCCCTGGCTTTCCTGGTTTTCCAGCTTGTAGATAGCAATATGTGGTACTTCCTCACCTCTATAACCATGTGAGCTATTTCACATAAAAAATATATACAAACATGTTTACATATACATATACATGATATATATGTATGTGTGCGTATATATTTATATATGTATTTGTATATTATATGTGCACATATATATGTGTGTATTGTATTTCTCTGGAGAACCTAATACACTAATGTCAAACAAAATAGACTTTAAATCACAAAATGTTTATAAGAACACAAAGGACATTAAACAATATATTAATAAAAGATTCAATTCAGCAATAAATATTGAAAATATGAAGATTTACATAATTAAGAACAGACTAACATATTATTATATAAAGCAAAAATTGAAAGAATGCAAAAGAGAAATAGTTTTACAGTAATAGTTGGAGATTTTGATACTCAGCTTTCAATAATGAATAGAACAGCCAGATAGAAGATAATTAAGGAAATAGAAGACTTAAAGAAAGCAATAACCCAACTAGATTTTACAGACACGTGCAAAACATCTTACTGAAAAGCAACAGCATACACATTCTTCTCAAGTATACATGGGACATTTTCCAGGATAGACCATATGTTTTAAGCAGTCTCAATATATTTGAAAGGAAAGATAGCATACAAATTATCTTCTCTGGTCACAGTAGAATGAAGTTAGAAATTAATAACATAAGTAAAACTGGGAAAAATTCATAAAACTGTGGAAATTATACAACAGACTATTAAACAATGGCTAAAAAAGGAAATCATAAGGGAAATTAGAAAATACTTAAACATGAATGAAAGTATAAACATGACATATTAAAACTTATGGGATACAGTGAAAGGATTGCTAAGGGAGAAATTTATAGCTATAAGTGTTTATACATTTAAAAAAAACAAAACAACAAAAATCTTTACAACTTAAAAAATTGGAAAAAAACAAACTAAACCCAAAGCTATGTAGCATAAAGAATGAAATAATAAAGAGTAGAGCAGGGGTAAATAATATAGAAGATAGAAAAATAATACAGAAAATTAGCAAAATCAAGAGTTGGCTCTTTAAAAAGGTAAACAAAATCGACACAATTTTAGCTAAATGGACTAAGATACAAAGAGAATACTCAAGTTACTAAAATTCGTAATAAAAGTGGAAACATTACTGCTTTCTACAGAAATAAGGATTATGAGAGTACTGTGAATAACTGTACAACAACCATTTGGACAAAGTACATGAAAGGAACAAATTCTTAGGAATACAAAGCCTACCAAGATTTAGCTATAAAAAACAGAAAATCTGAATAAATCTATAACTAGTAAAGAGATTGAGTCAATAAAGAAAAATTCCCACTAAAGAACAGTTCTGGACCTGATGGCTTTATGGGTGAATTCTACCACAGATTTAAAGAACTAACACAAATTTTTCTCAAACTTTTCCAAAAAATTTAGCTGTGTAGGGACACTTTTTAACTTATTCTATGAGGCCAGTATTACCATGATACCAAAGCCAGACAAAGACACTGCAAGAGGAGAAAACTACAGACCAAATATCCCTTAGGAATATTAATGCAAAACCCTGAACAATATACTAGCAAATTGAATTCAGCATCATGTTAAAATAACTCTACACCATGACCAAATGGGATATTTATCCTTGGGTTTCAAGAATGATTTAACACATGAAAACCAGTGTACTATCACATTAACAGAATAATTTTTTAAAAAGCATAGCCTTGATTGGTGCAGAAAAGTAATTTGGCAAAATTCAACACCATTTCAGGGTAAAAAAAATACTCAACAAACTACAAATCAAAACAAACTATCTCAACATAATAACCTTTGGTTTAAATTAAAAGCTTTTTTTCTAAAATCAATAACAAGAGAAAGATGGCCATTTTGCCACTTCTATTTCTACTCAACATAGAACTGGAAGTCCTAGCAGAGCAATTATGCAAGAAAAAGAAATAATAGGCATCTATACTGGAAAGGAAAAATAAGATTATCTCTGTTTGCAGATAGTAGGACCTTATATGTATTTATATAAATTTAGAAAATTAGCAGGATGTACAGTTCGCATCCAAAAATCAGTTGCATTTCTGTGCACTAACAATGAACAACCAGAAAAGAAAATTACAAAAGCAATTAAATTTACAACATCCTTAAGAAAAATAAAATTTTTAGGAATTAACCAAGGAAGTAAAAGACTTATAAAAGAAAAACTACAAAACATTGCTGAAAGAAATTAAAGAAGACATATATAAATAAAAACTCATCCCATGGTAATGGATTGGAAGAATGAATAATGTTAAGATGTCTATACTACAAAAAAAATCTATAGATTCAATGCCATACCTATCAAAATTCCAAAGATTTTTAAAATTTTGTGTTAATAGAAAAACCCATCCAAAAATTTATATGGAATTGCAGGAGACTCTAAATAGCTAAACAATCTTGAAAAAGAAAGACAAAGTTGGGGGACTCACACATCCTAATTTCAAAATTAACTACAAAGCTACAGTTATCAAAACTGTGTATACTAGCATCAAGACAGACATATGCATCAATGGAATCGAATAGAGAGTTCAGAAATAAACTCTCACATACATGGTTGAATGATTTTGGACAAGGGGGCCAAGATCAATAATGGGGAAAAGATAGTCTTTTCAACAAATGGTCTGGGAAACTGGATATCCATATGCAAAATAATGAAGTTGGACTCTTGCTTAACACCATATGCAAAAAATTAAAATGAATTAAAGACTTAAATGTTAAGATCTAAAACTATAAAATTCTTAAATGAAAACACAGGGCAAAGTCTTCACAACATTGAATTTGACAATGATTTTTCGGGTACAGCACTAAAGGCATAGGTTAAAAAAAAGAAAAAATAAACAAATTGAAGTTCATGAATTATTTTAAATTGTGCATCAAAAGACACTATCAACAGAGTAAAAAGGCAACACAGATAATAGGAGAAAATATTTTCAAATCATGTATCTAATAAAAGAATAATATCCAGAATGCTTATAAAGAATATCTAAATGTCAAAAACCTAATATAACGCTATAGTAATCAAGACAGTGTGGTATTGACTAAATAATAAAAATACAAATCATTGTAAGTTATGGTTCTGTTGTTGTTTTAAAAAAACGTAATCAATGGGACAGAATAGAAAATCTTGAAGTAAACTGTAAATATATTTAATCAATTATTTTTTTAAACAAATGCTAAGGCAGTTAATCAAGGAAAGGCTAGTCTTCAACAAACGATGCTAGAATAATTAAATGTTACAATTACAATTGCAAAGACTTTTGCAAAAACATTCAATAAACCATGTTGTATAGCTTATATGATAAACAAAAATTAACTATAATTACATTATAAACCTAAATATAAAACCAAAACTGATAAATCCTTCAGAAGGAAACATGGTATAATGTCTCTGTGACCTTGGTTTATGCAGATATGACTTAGATGAGACAAAAAGGGCAAGAATCATGAGAGAAAACAACTTGGTAAGTTTGACTTCATCAAAATTAAAACTGTTCTTTGAAAACCAGTATCGAAAAATTGAAAATACAACCCCAAAACTTGGAGAATATATCTTAAAACGCATATCCAATAAACATCGTTATCCAGAGCATATTAAAAACACTCACAGCTCAATAATTTTAAAAAGCACAATTTAATATGAGTAAAACATAGTTTTTAAAAAATATTTTATTATTATTATACTTTAAGTTTTAGGGTACATCGGAAGCACTAGTCTATGACCATGGTTCTCTGTGGTTAACTATGTTTACTCATAGAGAACCATGGTCATAGACTAGTGCTTCTGAGTCTTAAATGCACGTTGAATCACTAGAAGTACTGTTAAAATATGCACTCTGATTCAGTCTTGGGAGAGAGCCTAGAATTCTGTTTTCCAACAAACTCCACTGTTATTGGTTCATGAACCACACATTGTGTGTAAGCCCTTTGACATTATGCAGTTTCTAACTAAGTTTCTCATAGATGGAAAATAAAACTCACAGAATAAGCAACAGCTACTGAGTGAGAAAGCAAGCACTAACGCCTTGAGCTTCTGATTCCTGGTGAGATGTGTTTGGCTGATGTAAGGATAAGTACAAGTTAAAAATGAGAAGTTTAATTCTACTTTCTTCTGGAAAATAAGGGAAGAGCCTTCACCCCACTCACTTTTCTTAGAGCATTTACTTTAGAAGACTTGTAATTGTAAGCTCTTTGTCTCTTTGAAATGCATGAAATCTTTCTATAGACTAAATAAGCCTCTCACCAGCTTTAGCATCCAGGAATATCTTTCCCAAGAATCTGGGAACCACATCTTTCAAATGTAATCATCAAAGAAAATAGTGTCTCTACCTCCTAGTTTGTGGGAGGGCAGTAGCCTAATTTCAGGGGGCCAGGTGTCCTTCTCTAAAAGTACTTCCTGTCATAATGATATGAGAATTTTATTTCTCCTTTAGATAAAGCCAATTAGCTAACACAGATGGCCACCCCAATTACCAAGCGAATCTAGAATAAACTATGTGTGACAAATGGTGCTGTCAAGTCCTCTTCCTTGAGGATTAGTGATTGTTTATCTTGAACACGTATGTAATGTGTTGTGTCTGCTTAGTTGTATAAAAGTGAGATTTATTTCTGTGTTTGCAATCTCTTTAGTGGATTGCCTGTGATGTACACCAGATTTTGCTTTAATGCTTATTCAATAATAAAATTATTTCTTGTTCTTGTGGAAAACCATATGTGGAGAAGTTATTTTAGATTGGGAGGAGATTTTGTTTTTAATCATATTTTCCCAACACTGACTATATCCACATAGTTTGTTAATGAGATGAACAGTTATTTAGTAGTTGTGGATATCTCCCCTTGAAAGAGAAGACTACATGCTTACAAAGAAAAGACATGAATGAAAAACAGAGAAAAAAGTCAGAAAATGCTCCTAGTCACCTCTACTAAATAAATAGATACCTGAATGCACAAGATATGAACAAGCAGACAAATAAACAAATACATACATACATGCAAGACGAAATCAGTATAGGCAGAGAAAAAATAGCCCCCTTACTTTGTAAGAGCACTCAGTCAACAGAACAGCTCTCTGAAGTAGGTGTATTTTTCTAAGAATAATCTTATTTTTTATTCCCCGTAGTGGGTGGGGTGGGGGGTGGGGGTGGGCAGAGTGGTGAGGGAGAATGACTCACTGAGTTTGTGACATTCACCTGATGCTTCCTGAAGCCAAGGCCGAATATACTGCAAAAATAAATGCACACTGATTTCAAAGACTCTCCATTTGGGAAAGCAGGTGTTTTTGCTTTAAAAAGGATCTTTAAGGGCATTTGATTTTTTTTTCTTCATAGTGCTACCTTAGAAACAGTCCAGAGGGTCTTATTAGTGCAGTTTATCATTGGACAGTGTGGGCTTTGGTTATTGTATATTGAAATAGGGATTAGATTGTGTTCTGAGAGAGAATTCCAATACGAAGCTAATAAAGTTCATGTGGCTATTTTCTATACAACATCCTTTTAGGAACCCCCTTGAGAAAGTTTACTTCTGGAGGAAAAAAAAAAAAAAAAAAACAAGCAAAGCATGACAAATCAATCCAAACTGCAAAAGAATACAGCTCATGGAGAAATTCTGGAAAACAGGAAATACGATGAGAACTCAGTGAAAATACTTTATTTTCTTTTCTTTTTTTTTTTTTTTGAGATGGAGTCTCACTCTGTTGCCCAGGCTGGAGTGCAGTGGCGTGATCTCGGCTCACTGCAACCTCTGCTTCCTGGGTTCAAGAGATTCTCTTGCTTCAGCCTCCTGCGTAGCTGGGATTACAGGCGTCTGCCACCATGCCCGGCTAATTTCTGTATTTTTAGTAGTGATGGGGTTTCTCCATGTTGTCCAGGTTGGTCTTGAACTCCTGACCTCAGGTGATCTGCCCGCCTCAGCCTCCCAAAGTGCTGGGATTACAGGTGTGAGCCACTGCCCCGGGCCAAATATACTTTAAAAATTTTCCAGGACACAAATTTTAGATTACTTCTCTAAAAAGTTAACTCACTAAGACGGATCTTATCAGTCCTATCTCAGATTTCGACCAACTCCAAATTAAAAGAGAAAAGATCTATAACAAAGCTGGAAATTTGCAGAAATATAATAAAGTTAACACATAAATCAACAGCTTATTAAAGAAAGAAAACCAAATTACCAGAAACATTTCAAACATAAGTAGATTAATTAGGAGACTTATCTAAGATTAAAGAGCACCCATGCAGTAGACACTCTAACACCGAATAACTACATTCTGATAACTGTGGTACGCCATTGACTGGGGTGAAGTTCAGGCTGCTGCTGCTTTTTTTTATTTATTTATTTATATATTTTTTGAGATAGTCTCCCTCTGTTGCCCACGCTGGAGTGTTGGCTCACTGCAACCTCCATGTCCCGGGTTCAAGTGATTCTTCTGCCTCAGCCTCCCGAGTAACTGGGACTGCAGGTGCATGCCACCATGCCCAGCTAATTTTTGTATTTTTAGTAAAGTTGAGTTTCACCATGATGGCCAGGCTGAGCTCAAACTCCTGACCTCAAATGATAATCCTGCCTCAGCCTCCCAAAGTGCTGGGATTACAGGTGTGAGCTACCTTCTTGGGCTGCCCACAGGTTCCCCCAGAACCTAGCCTAATATTTCTGTCTAGCCTTATCTCCACTTAGCATACAGCACCATGTCACTGCACTTTCTTCCCATCATTTATTCATTGCACAATCACCTCCCCAGCTTATGAAAGAAACAACGAGATCCGTGCATCTCAAACTTTAAAGCAAATGAATCTGTGGATTTGTTAAAATACAGATTTGGATTCAATAATCCTTAGACTAACACCCAATATTCTAAATTTCTACCTTCCAGTTGATGCCAATGTTGATGTCTGGTCTGCAGACAACATTTTCGGCAGTAAGTTCTATAACTTGATATTTCTTCTTAATTTCAGCTTATTTCATTTATTTGTTGCATATTTCATGATAATATAACTAACATTGAGGAAAGTTTTCCCATAACCAAGGCCATTGGAAATGGTGTCTGGATCTCAGTTGGACTTTCTATTCTACATGTTTGAGTTGCGTTTATATTCTTTTCTCACCTTGCTTTTGTGTCATGGGAGTATAAACACTTTATGTTCTGCCTCTCTTCATCTGGTCCATTGCTTCACATATCTACCCTGAAATCAGTGATTTCAAATGTTCATTTTTTAAACAGATATATCACATATTTTTACCCTTTTCAATATAAAAGATTTATTGTTCAATAAGTCCTACTTAGCATTCCTATAAAAATATTTGAGTTTTCCTTTGTCTTTGTTCTCTGAGAAGTTCTACCAATTATTATGCAGGATATCTTCCATTTGTCCCTCTAGATCCACTTTCTTACCATTTTCATCCTGCTCTGTGTCCTGAGTTTACCTACCTGGACAGTATCAACATGGTACTGTCCTTACCCTCGAACTTGAATCAAGAGAAAAAGAAGAGTGAGAAATTAAGGGGTGTGGCTGGAGGAAATTGAGTTCCAGGTATCTATTATCCAGCTCCTTCTCTGACAGATTGTTGTGAAGCAATCCTCAACCTCTCATTAAGCAGCAAGGGTTCAGGTCTTTGCTTCTTTCCCTTGCTTTTGCAGGTATAAAGGTATTTATGCCTACCTAGCTGATACTAGCCCAGGACTACTGCACTGTTCCTTGTGAGCTTCCTTAAACACTGCTCATGCCTTTATACATTATTCTTTTGCTAAGCTTTTCTTAAATTACCCCCGTTTGAAATTGTAATCAGTTTCATGCTGAAATTGTGAATATTATAATCAGCAACATATTTTCATTGAATTTTTAGATGACATATTACAGGCAAAACTCACCAAGCACTGGGCAGTGGTAAGACAGTCTTCATAACACACGGAGAAAACTGTTTTAGGGTAAAGAAAGAACCTTTCATGTCATCTGGCACAGGATAAAGTTCCAGCACACCTATTATAATTAACATGATTAACATCATTTTTATGAATCCAATTATGAACATGATGATTAAAATTATTATTATGCATCTGATAGAGGCCCTACAGTCTCAGCATTGAACAAAACAGAATTGAATGTGGGACTACTGATCTTTGGAATTCAAATATCTAACAAACACTAAATCCTGATGGGGACTAGAAATAAGAATTAATGGGTTAAGATTCCAGTTAGGGCTTATTTAGGATATTAGAAATACCTGCTAGTTCCTGATTTAGGCAAACCTAATTCCTCACTCCTAAACTGGGGACGAAGGGTGAAGGCCTTCCAATGCCAACTTCTTCCATTTCTGCCAATCAAGCTTTCAGGTAGTCTACTACTTAGTCATAAGGTTTTCTTTAGTTCTTGTTATACGTAACAATTCCAAAGACCCAATTTCCACCACCCAAAAATGGAAAAAAATAAGTAACGCTATAAACGTGATATTTAGAATGGACAATAGTTAAGTGCAGAGTTTATCATGAAAGAATCAGAGAGGCAAAAAATAAAAGGATAAAGTTGTCAAGAAAAACTGAGGGGAAAGAGCATTTTATAATAGCAGCACACTTTAAAACCAGAGTCCAATGTAGTCATTTGTTAAGTCTGAGATTTGATGTGAGAGTTAATGAATCACTTTATATACATACCTAGCACCTGACACTCTGCAGGATTTCAGCACAGGGCAGCCTTTTCTTCCTAAGTGGGTACTATTATGCCAAAAATGTAGAAAGAACCAAATTATGATCCTAAGCATAATATATAAGCTTATATGGTTACATTTCATTTAGTCTGATTTCTAAAAATTGAGGAATGGTCTCTGTTCTCCAAAAATGTCAGCTGATGTTGAAAATGGCTCTATTGAGGACACATCTTTCAGATCCAAAATAATAACACTTACTCTAGGATACATTTATCAAGGGTTTATGATATACTCAGCTTTTCACATCTATTAACTTTGTTTTTCCTCACATGTTAATTAGGTAGGGACTATTATATGGTCAATTTATGGATCAGGAATCTGAGATTAGAGAATTAAAGTGACTTGTCCAAAGATATAACTAGTAAACCTTAGAGCTGAGAGAGAAGATATGAGGCTTTCTGGCCTTTGAAAACTGCTCACTTCACCAGAAAAAGCAATGTACGTAAATGTCCATTTAAGTGGCCTTATATTTGGCTTCTAATATTGGTACAACCCAGCTATTCCCCCAAAAAATGTAGTATAGGAAAATGTTCTTCTAGCTAAACCATTCTGTAAAATGCCCACACACATTTTCAAGGACCTGTGATTTGTGTGCTCTGGAAATCAGACCCATATAACAAATTGTAGCTTCCAGTCTGCAGAAGAATGCCTGTGGAATGTTTTAATGCTTATGAAGAAAAAAATGTAGTCTTTCTTGGTAAAAGTAACCTAAAGCTCTAGGTGGCTGATAACATAGAGTGTAGCAGGGCACTCTGCGCTAAAGATACAAATGCTCTCCAGCCATTCTTTGAAATTGAGTTCCTTTCTAGTTTGGTAAAACTCTTTCCAGCAGGTTCAAGGCCTCAGCGAGTCTCACCGTGTTATGAAGAAGTACTAAAGGTTGTATTTAATAAGTCAACCTTCTCCCCTGAGCCTTAGTTATAACTTTTTAAAGAGTCTTGGAGGAACAGTTGAGCTTTTCCCAAATGGGGGAGTCTCAACTCATGTTTACCAAATAAAAAAGTGAAAGGAGCTAATTTTGCATTTCCATTCAAAGTTAGTGTGGTAGGGGAAGGTCCTCCCTCAGTCAGGTGGTATTTCCTATAATGGGTAGAATTACCCAGAGATACATAAAAAAAAAAAAAAATCAAATGTATCCATTGCCTGTGCTTTGACTTAGATTATCATAAAAATTAAGAATGCAATTGAACTTGTTGAGTCTTGGCATGAGATATCTACTTAATGCTTCATGATAAGTAACCACAATATAACAGTGCATAAAATAATAGGCATTTCTTTCTTAGTTTGATATCTGTGAATCATCTGGATTTTGGCTGACCTAGGTTAGGCTCAGCTCGACTTGGCCCCAGGTTCTGAGTTGAGTCCAATTCTGCTTCACATATCTTCATTCTCTTTGGACCCGCAGATACTCAAGGCATGTTCTTCTTATGGTGAAAATGTAGGAGTGAAAGACAGGGGTAGAGGAAAAGTATCATGTTTCTTAGGGCTCCCATTAAGAATTGTAAACTGTCACTTTTCCCTATGTTCCTTTACCTAAAGTCAGTCCTATTGCTAAGTTCAACATTTTTTGGATGGGGAAGCATAATCTTCCATTGATAGTTGAAGGGAAGGGTAAATATTTGCTCATTAATAATCTAACCTTTCACAGTCTCTAAGTTACTATTTTGAGTAATGCTCTATTGGCCTACCACCATTCAAACTTTAAGGATATAATTCACTTGTTTTTCTCCTCTTGTCAAATAAATGATTCAATGTATTCAGTAGAGTTTCACTATTTGGTCTTTCCATTCTCTAAGCATCATTATATATGTGACCACCACAGAGTCACAGCTATCAGTGACCTGGGAAAGGAAAAGTGAGTCACATAAATAGTAAACAAAGAACTAGTGTTTTGGAATCGCAGAATGCTAAATATTTTAAATAAAGAGCTTGTACTCAATAAATACTATAAAAGAGGAAACTGGAGAACAATAGAGTTTAATCCACTTATCCAAGTTACCCAGCTAGTTAATAGCATATCCATAACCCAGTTTATTATCTTCTCTACCATGCTACACTTCCATGGCCTTTTATAAACTTTCTAGTTAGTTTTACACACACACACACACACACACACACTTCAAGGTATTAGGAAGGAAGTAGATAAAACTGCTTCTGAATTGCAGTGATATTTTTTAGGATTGTATATTTTCTTTTCATTTATTTTTTAATTGTTTATATTTATGGTATTTATGGTATACGCCATGATGTTTTGTTATATGTATATATCATGAAATGGCTATATCAAGCTATTTAATGTTTGCATTGTTTCACACATAATTTTTTTGTGTGTGATAAGAACACAAAATCTCTTTTCACAGTCTTCATATACATTATACATTGGTATTAATTGTAGTCACCAAGATAAACAACACATCTCTTGAACTTATTTTTCCTTTCTAAAAAATTTGTGTCCTTTGACCAACATCTTTCCAATCTCCTTCCTTAAGCCAGCCTTTGGGAACCACCATTTTCCTCTCTCTTTGTATACTAACTTTTTTACACTTCACGTATAAATGAGATCATCTTCCTGTGGCTGGTTTATTTTGCTTACTATAGTGTCCTCTAGGTTCTTCCATGTTGTTGCAAATAATGGGATATTCTTTTTTTCTTTTTTAAGGGTAATATTCTATTGTGTATATATACCATATTTTCTTTTTTTTTTTTAAGTTCTGGGGTACATGTGCAGAATGTGCAGGTTTGTTACATACGTAGAAGTATGCCATGGTGGTTTGCTGCACCTATCAACCCATCACCTAGGTATTAAGCCCCGCATGCATTAGCCCTTTTCCCTAATGCTCCCCAACACCCTTTCCTGACAGGCCCAAGTGTGTGTTGTTGCCCTCCCTATGTCCATGTGTTTTCATTGTTCAGATCCCACTTATAAGTGAGAACATGCGGTGTTTGGTTTTCTGATCTTGTTTTAGTTTGCTAAGGATGATTGCTTCCAGCTGCATCGTATCTTTGCAAAGTACATGATCTCATTTCTTTTTATGGCTGCATAGTAATCCATGGCATATATGTACCACATTTTCTTTATCCAGTCTATCATTGATGGACATTTGGGTTCATTCCATGTCTTTGCTATTGTGAATAGTGTTGCAATGAATACATGCATGCACGTATCTTATACCACATTTTCTTGATCCATTCATCTGTCAATGGACACTAAACTTGAGTTCATATCTTGGCTGTTGTAAATAATGCTGCAATGAACATAGGAGAGCAAATATCTCTTCGACACACTGATCT